>NC_000009.12:41229378-41237752 GCF_000001405.40 Homo sapiens
TGTGTGCAGTGTGTGTGGTGTCTGGGTGGTGTCTGTGTGGGGTGTGTGCATGTGTACATGGTGTGTGTGCAGTGTGTGGTGTGTGTGTACGTGTGCACATGGTGTGTGTGCAGTGTGTGTGGGGTGTGTGCAGTGTGTGTGGTGTCTTGGTTGTGTGTGCAGTGTGGTGTCTGAGGAGTGTGTGTGTGCACGTGCATGGTGTGTGGTGTGTGTGCATGTGTACATGGTGTGTGTGCCGTGTGTGTGGCTTCTGCATGTGGGGTGTGCATGTGTACATGACGTGGTGTGTGCAGTGTGGTGTGTATGTGGGTGTGTGCATGTGCACATGGCATGTGTGTAGTGTGGTGTCTGCTGTGTGCAGTGTGTGGTGTCTGGGGTGTGCATGTGCACATGGCGTGTGTGGTGTGTGTGTGGTGTATGGGGTGTGTGTGTGCACATGGTGTGTGTGTGCAGTGTGTGTGGTGTCTGGGGTGCATGTGTGCACATGGAGTGGTGTGCATAGTGTGTGTGATGTCTGGGGTGTGCATATGCACATGGTGTGTGTGCAGTGTGTGTGGTGTCTGTGTGGGGTGTGTTCATGTGCACATGGTGTGTGTGCTGTGTGTGGTGTATGTGTGTGGGGTGTGTGTGTGCACACGGTGTGTGCAGTGTGTTTGTGTGCAGTGTGAGCATGTGCATATGGTGTGTGTGCAGTGTGTGTGGTGTCTGTGGTGTGTGTGTGCACATGGTGTGTATGTAGTGTGTGTGGTGTGTGTGGGGTGTGTGCACATAGTGTGTGTGCAGTGTGTGTGGTGTCTCTGTGTGGTGTGTGTGCAGTGTGTGGTGTCTGTATGGGGTATATGCATGTGCACATGGTGTGTGTGCAGTAGGTGTGTTTGTGGGGTGTGGGCAGTGGGTGTGAGGGGTGTGTGTGCATGTGCACATGGTGTGTGTGCTGTTTGTGTGGTGTCTGTGTGTGGGGTGTGTGTGCATGTGCACACGGTGTGGTGTGTGCAGTGTGTGTGTTATGAGTGACTGCTTCTCTTAGCATGTGGACATCAGTCTTCCAGACCAGCTTTCTCCATGTGTCTGGGAACATAAGAAACAAGTTTCTGCAATAATTGTTACACAGCTTTTCCAGAGAGGGACCAAATCTCTGTCGTGAGTGGGTATCTGCATCATTTCGCAGGAGGGAATGTGATGTTCTGGCTTGGCTCACACCCTCTGTGGGTTTAGGCACAGGTTCCTGCTGGATCCCTCACTGTGGCCAGAGAGGGAGGGCTCTGCTTCACCACAGGGCACCAGAAGAGGACTGGTGTGCGGGAAGACCAGGTAATCATAATGCTATTAATAATAGCAGTAATCATACTGTTTTATACATTGTATATGTCATAAGGATTTTAACTTTCATGTAACATAACTGCTGTAAAATTTTCCCCAGTTTGTTTTGTGCTATTTACCTGGTGTTAAAATGTATAAGAATTTACATTTTAGGTACGTTAGGTTTATTCCTTTTTATATGGTTTCTGTTTGAAATTTTGATTTTAGAAGACATTCATTCTCAAGGTCATAAAACACACACATCTAATTTTCTTTTTTCTCTCTCTTTTTTTTTATATTTAATACTGGAATTAACTTTTATGTAAGATGTAGGACCATGATTCAATTCTGTCATTTTATATTCTCAAATCATTACCCAATATTTTAATACCACAAATGGAACAATCGCTCTGTTTTGTGGGTTTAAAATGTTACCCTGTTACTAGATAAAATTACACTCAATTTCTGTGTTTTTAATTCTCTTTTATTAATGTGTTTATTTTTGTGCCATTTCAAATTTGTTTAATTTTGGATAGTGATAATCTTAAATATCTTATAGTAAATTTTATAATAATGGCTCTCATTGTATGTGTGTGTTCAATATATGGATTTAAAATCACATGTTCTTGTTCGAAAATATTTTTCTTGGAATTTTTATTGGAATTTGAGCATATTTTTAAATGATTTACAGCAAACTAAAGAGTTAATATTATTGAGTCCTGTCATCCAGAATGTGACATGCAAATTCTTCAGACCTCTTTTAATGCCATTTAGTCAGAATTAATATGTTAAATCAATATAAATTAGTATAAATGAGTATAACTAATGATTAAAATAAATTAATGTGTTTGGCTCCATGTTTCTGTCTTCTGCCTTCTATCACTGATGTTTTATTCCTATCCTTGTTGTTTTCTATAGTTTCTTTTATTATGTCTTTTTCTGTCTTGTGATTTGAAAACTATATGACACATTGTAATGTTTTAATTTTTCTAATTTTTTGCTTTTAATTTTAACTAATTTTATTTTTTAGAGAAGTGCAGGTTCACAGCTAAATGGAGCAGAGAGTACAGACTTCTCATATGTCCCTTTCCCCACACACAGCCTCCCCACTACAGCTTCCTGCCTCACAGGAGCACACCTGTGACAACCAGGAACCTACCTTGATCCTTCATTATCATTCAAAGCTTACAGTGCACATTCACGTTTACTCTTCACGCTGTACGTTCTGAGTCTTGACAAAAGTATAATGGCAACAGGATGTTATTCACTGCTAACAGGAGATGAACTATCAAGCCACAAAAAAATACATGGAGGAAACTTAAATGCATATTGCTAAAAGAAGAAGCCAATCCGAAAAGTCTACGTACTGTTTGATTCCAATTATATGACGTTCTGGAAACGGTGAAACTATGGGATCAGTAGAAAGATCAGTGGTTGCCATGGACCAAGGGGAAGGAAGAGATGGATACACAGAGCACAGAGAATCTTCACGGCAGTAAAACCATTCTGTATGATACTATAATGGTAGATATATACATTTGTAAAAATCTATCGTAACTTTTAATCTTTTAAATTACATTTTTTTTTTTGATGGAGTCTTGCTCTGTCGCAAGGCAGGAGTGCACTGGCACGATCTCGGCTTACTGCAACCTCCGCCTCCCGGGTTCAAGTGAGTCTCCTGCCTCGGCCTCCCGAGTAGCTGGGAATACAGGTGCCCGCCACTGCGCCTGGCTAATTTTTGTATTTTTAGTAGAGACTGCGTTCACCATCTTGGCCAGGCTGGTCTTGAACTCCTGACCTTGTGATTCACCTGCCTTGGCCTCCCAAAGTGCTGGGATTACAGGTGTCAGACACCGCACCTGGCCGTTTTTGTTTTAAGAACTGCAGACAAGCTGGGTGCAGTTGCTCAAGCCTGTAATGGCTGCATTTTGGGAGGCTGAAGTGGCTGGATTGCCTGAGCCCCAGAGTTCAAGACCAGGTGGGCAACATAGTGAGATCCCGTCTCTACAAAAAAAGTATTAAAAAAATATAGCCAGGCATAGTGCTGCATGCCTGTAGTCCCAGCTACTCAGGAGGCTGTGGTAGAAAAATCACTTGACCCAGCAGTTTGAGGCTGCAGTGAGCTATGATCATGTCACTGCACTCTGGCCTAGGCGACAGAGCGAAACCCCATCTCAAAACAAAGAACAACCAAAAACCTAGAAGCACACCTCAGAGATAGTGTGGGTTTGGTTCCAGACAACTGCAGTAAAGCAAATGCTACAAACAAAAACCTACAAGCACACCTCAGAGATAGTGTGGGTTTTGTTCCAGACCACTTCAGTAAGGCAAATGTTACAATCAAGTTAGTTGCATAAACATTTTATTTCCCAGTGCTTATAAAAGTTATGCTTAAACTATATTGTAGTCTAATGAGTATTTAATAATTATTAATTAGTAATTAATAGCATGTCTAAAAAACTGTGTACATACCTTAAGTTAAAATACGTCAGTGCTAAAAAATGCTAATGAATATCTGAGCCTTACCAAGTCATAATCTTTTTGCTGGTGAGAGTCTTGCCTCTATATTGATGACTGCTGGCTAATCAGTGTGGGGGCTGCTGAAGGTTGGAAGCCTGTGTCAATTTTTTAAAACAATGAAGTTTGTTCCTTTCACCAAAGATTTCCCTGTAGCATGTGATGCTGTTTGACAGCATTTTATCAACAGTAGAACTTCTTTCAAAATTGGAATAAACCCTCTCAAACCCTGCTGCTGCTTTATCAACTAGGTTTATGGAATATTCTAAATCCTTTGTTGTCATTTCAACAATGTTGATAGCATCTCCACCTGGATTAGATTCCATCTCAAGAAAATATTTTCTTTGCTCGTCCATAAGAAGCAACTCCCTATTTGTTCAAGTTTCATCATGAGTTTACAGCAATTTCATCTCACCTTAAGGCCCTAATTCTAATTCTAGTTGTCTTGTGATTTCTACCACATCTGCAGGGACTTCCTCCACTGACATCCTGAGCCCTCAAAGTCATCCATGAGGGCTGGAATCAACTTCTTCCAAACTCCTGTTAATGTTAATATTTCATCCTCCTCCCATCAATCACAAATGTCCTTAATGGCATTTAAGGATTGCTATTAAGGACATTTGTGATTCACGGGAGGAGGTTCAAATATCATGAAAAGATTAATGGGGAATCCTTTCCAAAAGGTTTTCAATTCAGTTTATCCAGATTCATCAAAGAAATCACTATCTATGACAGCTATACCTTTACAAAATGCAATTATTAATTAATAAAAACACTTGAAAGTCAAAACCACTCCTTGATCCACAGGCTGAAGGTAAATATTGTACTAGCAGCCATGAAAATAACATTAATTTCCAAGTAAATCTCCATCTAAGCTTCTGGGTGGCTAGGTGAATTGTCAATAAGCAGCAATCTTTTTTTCTTTTTTCCTTTTCTTTCCTTTTATTTTTTCTTTTTCTTTCTTTTCTTTTCTTTTCTTTTTTTTTTTTTTGACTTAGTTTTGCTCTTGTTGCCCAGGCTGGAGTACAGTGGTACGGTCTTGGCTCACTGCAACCTCTGCCTCCAGGGTTCAAGCCATTCTTCTACCTCAGCCTCCCAAGTAGCTGAAATTACAGGTACTACCACCATCCCTGGCTAATTTTTTTGTATTTTTATTAGAGATGGGGTTTCATCATTTTGGCCAGGCTGGTCTTGAACTCCTGACCTCAGGTGATCCTCGGCCTCCCAAAGTGCAGGGATTACAAGTATGAGCCACTATGCCTGGCCAACCAACAATCTTTTTAAAAGAATCGTTTTTTTTTTTTTCTGAGCAGTAGGTCTCAATAGTGGGATTAAAATATTCAGTAAACCATGCTATTAACAGATGTGCTGTCACCCAGACAGTGATGTTCCATTTCTAGAGCACAGAAAGAATAGATTTTGCATAATTCTTAAGGGCCCTGAGATTTTCAGAGTGGTCAATGAGCACTGGCTGTAACTTAAAGTCACCAGCTGCAGTGGTCCTCAAAGAGAGTCAGCCCATCCTTTGAAGTTTTGAAGCCAAGCGTTGACTTCTCTCTAGCTATGAAAATTCTACATATTCACTAAGCTTAATCATTTCTAGCTCTGGACTTAAAGTGAGAGACTTGCAAGTCTTCCTTTCATTTGAGTTCTTTGAGGCCACTGTGGTTACTAATTAGCACCCCTGGTGGGTGTCACCCTCCTCCCTCCTCTATCGAGTTCACCTACACCGGGGCGTGGGGAAAGGCGCTTCCTGCACCCCACATGCCCTGCGCTCCTGGGGCTCTCCCACAGGGGGCTTTCATGAGCCAGGCAGCAAGGGCTCCTCCCTGTCCTCTTGGTGCTGTGGGCCCTGAAAGTTGTAGAGTGCGCCCGTCACTGTGGCAGGAGCAGTGGCGCTGAGCGTGCCCACGGGCCGCGGCTTGGGTCTCTCTCGTTTTCCAGGTGGTGTGGCCGTAGACAATGGCAGTGGCGCCTGGCTGGCCCAAGAGCCCAGTCCAGCTACGCCTGCCTGATTCCAGGCATCACCACCAACCCGGGGGCCGCGAGGCTGGGATCAGGCACCCCAGAGCCGCTTGCCTGTGGCCGGGCTGCTCTCCCCCTCTAAGCCCAAGCACCACCATCGCCGCGCTGTGCTTTCCGCCGACCTCCCAGAGCGTCCCGATGTCGCCGGCGGCCAGACCATGCGCGAGACAGCCCAGGCGCCAGAGGCCTCCATCCCCTGCCAGGGCTCTGGACTCTCCAGGCAGCCACCCTCTCGCTGAGACTCCAGGCCTTCCCCAGGCTCTTGAGCTCCCGAGCTTCCAACACCTGGGGCCCGCTTAGGACGGGGTGTGCTCCGAGGCGTCAGGGCCCGGGGCCCACGGTCCCGGGGTCCCCTCCGGTCCTCCGCCTTGCCGCGGAAAAATTATTTTGGATTCCTCACCGCCCCTCCTGCAAGGCCCCCTCTTGCCCCACACACCCAGAGCCGCCAGGGCTGCCCAGGGGCGAACAGCCGGCCCAGCCCCATGGGCCCTTTTTCTCACAATGCTCACACCATCTTCGCTTGTTCTGACGAGGACCCGCCATGGCCAAAGGGGCAAGAAGGCTCTGCTTTGCCCCGCCCTGGCACTAGAGCCCCGGCAGCCTCATCCCGGGAAAGAGGGGCTGACGGACACCCAGACACACCCCACCACTACCACGAACAAACCCACCCTGACACACACACGGATACACACGGGTGCATGCATGCAGACACACACACACACACACCACACCCGGGCACACACACAGACACACAAAGACACAGACACAGATAGCTTGAAGGGAGACCACCCCTCATATTGTGTTATGCCCAATTTCTGCCTCCAAAGAAAGAAGAAGTAAAATCTAAAAGGCAGAAATGAAATCCACAGGCAGACAGCCCTGCACCACACCCTGGGCCTGGTAGTTAAAGATCGACCCCTGACCTACTCGGTTATGTTATCTATAGATTACAGACATTGTATAGAAAAGCACTGTGAAAATCCCTGTCCTGTTTTGTTCTAATCTAATTACCTGTGCATGCAGCCCCTAGTCACGTACCCTCTGCTTCCTCAATCCATCACGACCCTCTCACGCGGACCCCCTTAGAGTTGTAAGCCCTTAAGAGGGACAGGAATTGCTCACTTGGAGAGCTCGGTTTTTGGAGACGTGAGTCTGCAGATGCTCCCAGCTGAATAAAGCCCCTCCTTCTACAACTCGGTGTCTGAGGGGTTCTGTCTGCAGCTCCTCCTGCTGCAGAAGGAGAGCAAGGGAGAGAGGGATGGAGAAGTAGAACCAGAGGGAGAGAGAGAGACAGAAAAGGGGGGAGGAGAGAGAGAGGGGGGAAGAGAGAGCACCACATTAGAGCGGGAGGTGGAGGGGGAAGTAGAGAAAGGGAGAGGGTGAGGGAGTTGTGGAGCGACAGCGACAGAGCCTTGGAGAGGGAGGCTCTGCTCAGGTAGACAGGGCACCTTTCAGCAGGCCGGGGTGGGGTGGAGGGTTCTTGGGCCGGGCTAGAACAGGGGGTCAGGGCCCCCCATCCAGGAAAACCAATGGAGCCCTGAGACGTGTTTTTTTTTCTTCGATTGGTTGGTTGCTTTGGGGGTGCGTTTCATAAGGTCCTTCCTTTGCTTCTTTCTGTCTCCTTGATGCGGTGGGCCCTGAGATTTGTAGAGTGTGCTCGTGTGTCTGGCGAGAGCCATGGCGCCGAGCCTGTCCACGGGGCGAGGCCTGGGTCTCTCTCCTTTCCTCCGGACTGGAGTTTACACGAAGTCGGTGGCATTGGGAAACAGGGTGCACAGGGACGGATTTCCTCGTGGCTGGCGAAGAAAATGTCCTTCCTCTGGGGAAAGCAGCCCTCGGGTTCTGGAGCTGAGGTCTTGGCTGGGGTCTGTGGCACCCGCTGCCCCTGCTCACCCCTTCCACCGGCTTGGACGGTTGCAGTGACGCTGAATGAATGAATACAATTGCCTGGGAGTCCAGGGAGCGTGAAGACACCCGGGACCTCAGGGAACCCGCGCCTGCACCCTCGGGGTCGGTCCCGTCCCGCCCGGGTTGGGTGGGGCTGCCGCGAGTCGGAAGAGGTGGGATGCTGCTGCCTGGCGGTGCTGCAGCGGCGGATCTTCAGTAGGAGGTCCTGGGCTTCGGCTGGGGCACGGGGGCGGTCAACGGGGAGCAGAGGCGGGGGGCAGTTGGGAAGCACGGAGACAAAAGGGGGAAAGAAGGAGGGAGCGGGAAGCCAAAAGTCTATGGTACCGCTATTACCAGGCGGAATCCCATCCAAGTACTAACCAGTCCCGACCCTGCTTAGCTTCAACAGATCAGAGGCGAGCGGGCGCATTCAGGGTGGTGTGGCCTAGACGCCAGCAGTGGCGCCTGGCTGCCTCAAGAGCCCGGCCCAGCCAAGCCCGCATGACTCCAGGCGTCACCGCCACCCCGGGGCCACGGGTCTCGGATCCGGGACCCCCAGAGGCGCTCGCCCGTGCCCCCGGGCAGCTGTCTCCCTCTACACCCGAGGACCGCCGGCCTCCCAGAGAGTCCCGCCGTCACCGGCGGC
>NC_000009.12:43236167-43240559 GCF_000001405.40 Homo sapiens
CATGTCTGTTATTTCACTCTTTAAATTCAGTTAGTAATGCAGAACCTAGCACTTAGTAGATACTCAAAAATTATTTGCTGAATAAAAAAAGGTTAAACATGTAATATACACAAAATGTACTGGAAAAAATGCACCAAACAATTTTGTTATACCAGTTTAATGTAAATATTGCCTTTAAAAGATAATATAGTTTTCAGGTGTCTACAGTGATTTTGTAATATTTGTGCACATATAAAATAATATTTGCAAAAATGTAGTCCAGTGGGGAAATATACTTTCTAAATTCTAGATTTATAATTTAGGGTTTAAATTATAAAATCATTAAATAAGACACAAGTGAAATATAGTCAAATATCCCCTTGGAAAAAAAATTAAGTGGCCTCTAAAGTGAGGTATTCATGTATGTAATTTTACAATCCTCTAGTGACAGAATTAATTAAATATGCCACCAAATTGATTAATTCCTACAGTGTTAAAAGAGAAGCACTAACAATGCCAGTGACCATGTGACATGGATTTAAGCTACAAGTCATAGAAATGTGATGAGAAGCCTCAGCACTGTAAAACCGAGGGTGGAGGAAAGCTTTTCCTCTCTCAAATGAGCTTTGCGAGGTATACTTCTTAAAGGATAGGAAGTTGAAGTGTTCAGGACTTTTATGTCTATTCTACTTTGGCTTAGTTTACATGATTCTTAGTTTATTAGCCTAGAAATGGCCAAGAAAACTTAAGGCTCAATAATTAGTTATAAATATGAAATATCCCCAATTTTTAAGATAGAAACAACTTATAAATGTATTTGTCTGTAAAAATTGTGTATATTTTTACAGAACATCTATTTCTTTTTTATTTTTTTATGTTTTTTTATACTTTAAATTCTAGGGTACACATGAACAATGTGCAGGTTTGTTGCATATGTATACATGTGCCATGTTGGTGTGCTGCACCCATTAACTCATCATTTATATTAGGCATATCTCCTAATGCTATCTCTCCCCCCTCCCCCCACCCCACAACAGGCCCTGGTGTGTGATGTTCCCCTTCCTGTGTCCAAGTGTTCTCATTGTTCAATTCCCACCTATGAGTGAGAACATGCGGTGTTTGGTTTTTTGTCCTTGTGATAGTTTGCTGAGAATGATGGTTTCCAGCTTCATCCATGTCCCTAGAAAGGACATGAACTCATCATTTTTTATGGATGCATAGTATTCCATGGTGTATATGTGCCACATTTTCTTAATCCAGTCTATCATTTTTGAACATTTGGGTTGGTTCCAAGTCTTTGCTATTGTGAATAGTGCCGCGATAAACATACGTGTGCATGTGTCTTTATAGTAGCATGATTTATAATCCTTTGGGTATATACCCAGTAGTGGGATGGCTGGGTCAAATGGTATTTCTAGTTCTAGATCCCTGAGGAATGGCCACACTGACTTCCACAATGGTTGAACTAGTTTACAGTCCCACCAACAGTGTGAAAGTGTTCCTATTTCTCCACATCCTCTCCATCACCTGTTGTTTCCTGACTTTTTAATGATCACCATTCTAACTTGTGTGAGATGGTATCTCATTGTGGTTTTGATTTGCATTTCTGTGATGGGTCTATTTCTTTAAAACAAAGGGAGGGGAGTCTCTCATTTACATTAGTTTTTTTCATAGCCTTTTGGACTTTGCAATTTCTATGTTTTGGAACCTATTTCTTACAGTTTTTCTATGCTAAACTCTGTCCTGGTCAGTTCCAGAGTGTATGAAGAACCAAATCATGTAATTGTATGTGACCTGGCTGTAGTGGAACAAATTTGACTCTTAAGTATGCAGGCTCTAATTTTCCTGCCTGGTTTTGGTAAGTATTCCTTACATAGGTTTTTTTCTTTGAAAATCTGGGATTGAGAGGTTGATGAATGAAAATTAATCCTTTCACTTTGTTGTATATAGGTTTGCAATAATTAGGTCAGAGTGGAGTTTTAAGGTCATGAAAGTGGCTGATGACTTACAAATAATGGGCTCTATTGGGCAACTACTCATCTGAGTTCCTTCCATTTGACCTAATTAAGCTTGTGAAATTTACACTAAGCCATGAGCTCATCTTTAAAAAGTTTTATTAAAAGATTTTTCAGCTGTTCCAAATGGGACTTATTAGTGGAGTGTGTTTTAAAGGATCATATCAGATGAATGAAAGGCATTTGATCCTTTCTTTCCTTAATAATAAAATGATGGTTTGGAAAAATAGGCTACAGTCTAACCACAGTGCTATTATTAGGCTTTCTTGTTAAACATAGGTCTAAGCCTAAGTATGTCAATACAACAAGTACTTACTGTTTCATTTCTAGTAATAAAAAAAAAAGTCTTTCTGGCATAAGGATGTTTTTAATCTGGTTATTTTGAAACATTTTTGTAAAATAAATTTACGTCTATAAAGAACATTTTTATTTGTAAGGAGGGGTATGTCTCTGTGCACTGGAAGAGAGGGAGGACTAAATCACTGGGAAGTCTTATGATAAAGAAGCCATTGGCTTAAATCAGCAAAGCAAGCCATCCCTTGGTTTAAGGTGTTTTTCCTGGCCATCCTGTCTTGACTAGAACTTTACCTACACCTTCCTTTTTGGTTTAGGCAAATTATAGTATCTAAACCTGAAGTCTCAGCTCTGTGTCTTTGAGATATAAATGTTCTACCATGTCTTCTCTGGAAACTGATAACTATCTATCTCTTTAAAATGCAAGTCTAGGGAGATGACTCATCAGAAAAAGAAGAAAAAAGAGGTATTTGGAAATTGTGCAAATTAAAGCAGCCCCTGATGCCAAAGTCTACACATTCCTGAGTGAGTCAGTTCTGGCCAGTTCTAGCTGGGTCAAGAGAGCTCTGCTGGGCAGGCCTGAAGAGCAGCTGGATGGCAGACACCTGAGGAGCCAGGTGCCTGAAACTTCCTCCACCTGCTTGAGGAACACCAAAGCCCAGGTGTTGGCTGGACAACCCCTTCTGGCTGCCTAAGCCGGTGGCAGAGGAAGGAAAAAAGGTCAGAGGCAGAGTGTTGAACCCTGCCTCCCAGGTGGGTGGAAGATGCCTGTTGCCAAACTAGGGCCCAGCTTGCCGGGTGAGATGGGTGAACTGGTGATCCCCCGAGAGAGTGGACGTCAGAACTACATGGTCCCGGACTTCACCTCGGCCAGTGAAGGAGAGAGAGGGTTAATGTTAACTGCAGGAGGCCCACTCTAGCCTTAAATTCTGTAATTCAAACCCTTCCCTTGGAGACAAAACAAACATAACAAGGAATTCTGAGGTCAGGGGACAAGAATCACAAGTTCCCTAGTGGGAGACTGAGGAGGCAGTGTCCTTTCTGCCCTTGGTCTACTGGCTAAGAACCTTCCTCAGCCTGACCTTTCCACATTGCACTTTCAGCTCTGTTTGCAATTTTCCTCCTTTAGTGCTGAGGGAATCCCAGTGTTCGATCCTGAAATCTATACGTTCCTAATGGGTGGTTAAAAAAAGCCTCAGCAAGAGAAGCAGAAAATGTTTCCTCTTCCTGAAAAACTGTAGAAAGGCAGGCACCATTCTGGGTGGGACATGGTCCTTGCAAAAGTCTTTATGTTTTTTTTTTGTTTTTTTTTTTTATTGTGAGATGAAGTTTTGCTCTTGTTGCCCAGACTGGAGTGCAGTGGTGTGATCTCTGCTCACTGCAAGCTCTGCCTCCTGGGTTCAAGAAATTCTCCTACCTCAGCCTCCTGAGTAGCTGGAATTACAGGCACCTGCCACCATACCTGGCTAATTTTTTGTATTTTTAGTAGAGATGGAGTTTTGCCATGTTGGCCATGTTGGTCTCGAACTCCTGACCTCAAGTGAGCCACCCGCTTCTGCCTCCCAAAGTACTGGGATTACAGGCGTGAGTCACTGTGCCCGGCCAAGATTCTGTTTTGATAGAACACTTGTGTCTCTCTCACCTTGTATTTAGAAAAGTTAGAAAGTAAAGGATAACGTATATAGAAAGCTTTTTGAAGACTCTTAAGAAGTTCATAAATATGGGGCACTATGACTATGCATATGAAAATATTTCCTATCAGTTGGCAGTTACCACCTCTTATAGTGGCATGGAACCTCTTGAGTTAAACCAAGGCTCAGTGAGATTTGGTGATTTAGGTAGTGTCATTTTATGAACAAGGGGGACCCTACTCAGGTCTTTTATTTTATTATACTTCTCTTTGACATTCACTCCAGTTAAAGAACTCTTTCAAAAGACCTCATGCCTGGTCTCACGGAGATTCAAAGGTGTTTGAGTCCTTCCTTATTATGCCCTTGGAAGATGCTTTGAGGACCCCAGTGATGAATCCCAAGAACTCTGTCTCCATTATCCCTGGTATACGGCACCTCATCACTCTGGTGTTATCCCTGAAGGGCCTTCATAA
>NC_000009.12:43240579-43254332 GCF_000001405.40 Homo sapiens
TTGTTTTCTTATGCATATAAACGGATAGGAAATATGTATGTATGTGTGTGTGTGTATAGGATCATGCACTATATATAGCTTGCTTCTTTTTCCATTATGATAATTTTCCCATGTCATGAATTACGGCTTGCAAGTGCTTATTCTTAAAGGGCTGCATTATTTTTCATTATTTGGATTTATTGTTATTTAATTGGAGCTCTATTATTGAACATTTAGATTGCTTCCAAAATTTTTTGCTCTTGTTAATATATTGTAATAAACTTCTGTGAAACACATACTCTTCACCTGCTACTTACATATGACTTCTGTAAGCAGAGACCTCTGTATCCCCAGGACCTAGAAGGTTACCCAGACATAGTAGTTGCTTAATTAAAAAAAATTATTGATTGAATGAAAGAAGACTATTAAATGTTCAGTTCTTCTTTTTTTATTCTGATTCCCTGTGTATCCAGGGGCCTCTTATTTGGCTGCATGTATGAGTTTGGCTGTAATGAAAGTATTGGCCGTATATGACCATAAACAGGCATTCCTATTTCTGTCACAGTTACATTTGTCATTCTGTATTAATACATCTATATCCTGATTTCTATTGAAGCATGGTTAATTTTGTTTGCTTCTAAGCAATGTAGCTACCCTGTTGATGCTGATAAAAATAAATTTCTGAACCTATAAGACTGAGGATTGGGCCTAGGTTGTAGTAAATTGGCAAGATAATGGATGCTACCCTGTCAAGAGTCCTCTGAAGAGAAAAGTCTGCCACCCTTCACCAGGTAGAAACTCCAGGCAGTGCCACATTTTCCAGTTTGACGCCCTGTGATACCCTGAAAAGACAGATGTTTGACTCTTTTCAAATAACATTTTAACATATTTTAAGACGCAAAGGCATTGTGTCGGACTTTTTTCTTAAGAATATATTTCATTACCACTCAGAAGTTAGCTTCCAAAAGAAATGTGTGTGCAAAGGTTTATGATAGTGGTGTAGAGAAGTTTTTAAAATAAATGTGCATCTTTTATGGTAATAAAAGCACATTACGAAGAATTTTTTAGGTCCAGTTCACAGATTCCTTGTGCCTGGGGAAAACTTTATTAGAAAATTAGATAATTTCTTATTTGATTAGGGGAAGTCTAATGGGAAAAATTTTAACTGAGTGGTCCAATTTGAAACATGAATATCTGTGCTGGAAGCTTCTATTGAACTTTACTTAAGTCACATCTAAGACCCTCTGCCTGTCAGTCCACCATTACCCTAACTGTGGTAGAAATTCTTTATATGACACCTAGATCTTTTTTTGTTGCACTTTTAAGCTGTGTAGGAAACACACTGCCCACGTGTTCATACAACACAGAGTGATTATCCACTTAGTTCCTAAAAAGTTGTATTTGGTTATGGGGTTTGATCCCACTTGTCCAGGGTTTAGGTCAGCTACTGAAGATTAGGATATCTGGGTACCTCTTACTGGAGAATCCATTCCTGTTTTCATTTCATTCCTGGGGGCAATATTCAATCTGGTGTGGCCCTCTGTATTATAAAATGTTTCCCAGATTGTGTTTATCTGAAATACAAATCCAAGAAGAAGCATGGTGTTAATTGCCGTGTAAAAAAGATTCCAGAGTCAAGAGCTTGAGAAGTTCTATTCCTTCCTTCATAGGTTCAGTTGTTTAACCCAGCATTTTTCAAACATATTTTACTCCTAGAACCTGTTTTTCCTCAGACATATTTAAGAAA
The DNA here is from genome assembly GCF_000001405.40 of Homo sapiens. Classification (NCBI taxonomy): domain Eukaryota; kingdom Metazoa; phylum Chordata; class Mammalia; order Primates; family Hominidae; genus Homo; species Homo sapiens. The sequence continues at coordinate 43,242,306 of NC_000009.12, forward strand.
AAAGCGTTTTGTAGAACACATTTGGACAAATGATACTTTATATCATTGCTTTGTTTTTTAAATTTTAGTTTGACTCAATTTTACAGTTTCAGGATTTTGTTTCTGTTTCAGGTTTTAAGCTTTTCTTTTATAAATAGTTACTTTCCTAGTCTGAAATGTATACATTGTTTCAGTAATGAATTCATTATGTAAATTTGCCCATCATTCATCTAAAGGGAATAAACATTAAATTGTTTTTTTAAATTTTGACTTGTGTCACATATGAGAATATAAAGTATATCTGTACAATAAAGGAAAATGAAACATCAAAGTATCTACCTCAGGTTAAGAAGCAGAACTTGGCCGGGCATGGTGGCTCACACCTGTAATCCCAGCACTTTGGGAGGCAGAAGTGGGAAGATCACTTGAAGCCAGGAGTTGGAGACCAGCTTGTTCAATAAAGGAAGACCTTATCTCTAACAACAACCACAACAGCAAAAAATTAGCCAGGCACGGTGACACATGCTTATAGTCCCAGCTACTGGTGCAGCCTCGAACTCCTGGTCTCAAGCCGTCTTCCCACCTCAGCCTCATGTTGTAGTGAACTTTGTTATGCAGTGTCTCCTATTCTACATGTGCAGGAGTATTTTTACAGTATGTACCTGGAGTGGAATTGCTTGGTCATTGGGCACGTGTGTGTTCAGCTCTATTGAGTGGCATCATACTGTTCTCCAAAGCAGTTGTACCAATCTACACCCTCACCAGCAGTGAATAGTCTTCCCATTGTTCTTCCTCAATGAAACTAGATATTCACAGCCTTTTAGGTTTTTCCTAGAGTATGAAGTGGTATCTCTTTGGGGTTTTAATGTTTATTTCCCTGATTAGAATTGTAGTTGAGCATCTTTTATTATGTTTATGGGCCATTTATGTTTTCTCTTCTGTGAAATTCCTATTCGGGTTTTTTGCTCATTTTAAATGTTGTTGTTTGTGTTTTTCTTATATAGGAATTCTTCACGCATTCAAGATGCACGTATGTTGTTCAGAATAGTACCTGAGACATAGAAACAACTTTGTAAGAATAGCTATCATTACATTACCATTGTATTTAATCCTTTGTTTTTATGTGTTACAATTATCTTCTGCTAATTTGTGGCTTATTTTTCATTCTGTGATGCTAATTTTTTAACCTAGTATTCTATTATTTTAAAAATATACAATCTTGAGTAGTCTACATGTTCATAACCATGACATATTCATGTTGCATATGTTCTGTGTCATAACCCAGAACTTTCTTTTTTTTTTTTTTTTGAGATGGAGTTTTGCTTTTGTCACCCAGGCTGCAGTGCAATGGCGTGATCTTGGCTCACTGCAACCTCTGCCTCCTGGGTTCAAGAGATTCTCCTGCCTCAGCCTCCCGAGTAGCTGGGATTACAGGCACCTGCCACCATGCCCAGCTAATTTTTGTATTTTTAGTAATGACGTTGTTTCACCATGTTGGCCAGGCTGGTCTCGAAATCCTGACCTCAGGTTATCCGCCCACCTTGGCCTCCCAAAGTTTTGAGATTATAGGCATGAGCAGCTGCACCCGGCCAACTTTCAATCTTAAGTACCATTTTTTGCTGCTGTTTCTTTTTTTGAACCCCAGGAAAAAATTAACCCATTTAATCCCCTATTCAAACTGCTACAATTTTATTTTCAGTGTTGTCGCCTGGTTGTAGATGCATTTGTCTCTCCAAATGCACTGTGATTATTTCGAAGACAAAACATTTTTGGCATTGTGATATATATATATATATATATATGTATGTATATATAGGTATATAATATATATATGTATGTATATATGTATATAATATATATATGTATGTATATATGTATATAATATATATATGTATGTATATATGTATATAATATATGTTGTATAAATATTTATGTTTTATATATCATATAAAAATTATATATAAAAATTATATATATATATATATATATATATATATATATATATATATATGTAATATAGGGACTCGATTAGTTTCTGCTAGTGTGGAGACAAGTCATATCATGGCTAGGGGCCATGATGGTAGAAGCAGTCAGAGGATTTCTTGCATTGTGATGAGTGCATATAAGTTAAATGAGCCACTTATCAGTAGATTTGATAGCAGGATAATAGTTATATCACTGATACCTAGGCAGTACATGACACTCGGTAAAGAATAGATTAATCCTCATGCTCTTCAACTTCCTCCTAATCTCTTTACTTGTGCTGCCCTCCAGCTTTCAAAGTGCTCTGAGTCATCACTTACACAGTGTTCCTTAGCTGCCCCTTCAGTGAGCCAGTGTTTCTGTGCCCCAGTGTTCCTGAGAGTTAGAACACAGAAAATAGAGCAGGCTCTTGCCCACATCACAGAACATCCTTGTCTCCCTGTGGATCCCGCACATTTGTTCATTAGAGCTCAGGAATTGCCAGAGACTGGCTTTTCTGGCAATGGACACTAGATTCTTCAGAAGAATATTGGTTGAAATCTTTCTGCCGTGACAGTTCCCTGCATGCAGGGCAGGAGTGTGTGCTTCTTCCCAGCAAAGGCAGAGGCAGGGCCTACAGAAACTGTGCCCGCAGCCTATAGTGATGGGGTCTATGAGGTAATTCAGGCAGATGAGGCAGGTGAGTTCTTTCTGGAAGGCTTGTGGGAAGTCTAAGTCCATTTTTCTGAGGGAAGAAAACCAGAAGAATTTATTCTTATGCCATAGAGAGACAAAGATCTACACAAAGTTTGAATCAGGTTTTGAGTAGGATCCGCTCACAGGTTTAAATCTATAGCAGGATATGATTTTATTTTGCACATAACAAAAATGAAAAACTGAGGCATAGAATTCAAGCTTTGCAGAAAAATGTGTTGGCTCCCTAACCAACACACACACACACACCTACTTTCCCAAATTCTTTCCTCCTGTATGAAAAAAACTTAAGGCTGGGCACAGTGGCTCATGCTTGTAATCCAGCACTTTGGGAGGCTGAGGCAGCAGGATTGCTTGATCCAAGGAGTCCAAGACCAGCCTGGGCAACATGATGAGACCCTGTCTCTACAAAAAGAAAAGGAGGAAAAATTAGCTGAGCATGCCAGTAGTCCCAGCTACTAGGGAGGCTGAGGTGAGAGGATTGCTTGAGCCCAGGAGGTCAAGGCGGCAGTGAGCCATAATCCAGCCACTACACTCTAGCCTGAATGACAGAACAAGACTCTGTCTCAAAAATGAACAAAGAAAGAAAAGAAAGAAAGAGAGAGGGAGGGAAGGAGGAAGGAAGGAAGGAAGGAAGGAAGGAAGGAAGGAAGGAAGGAAGAAAAGGAAGGAAGGAAGTTTACAGAGTTTTTTGAGGTGTTAGTGTTCCCTAAATTGTATGGTCTTCAGAGGTTTACCCTCCTATAGCTTCAAGGGGTGAGTCCTGACTGGTAGGAAAATCAATCACACTCTTACTTGCCAGTGATTCATTTAGGGAAGACAGCTAACTAAACTCTTCCACTTTGATTATTTCATTTAATTGTAACAACCATCTTATTATGACTTCTTCAAAATTACCCTGCCAGTAAGTGTTGGAGGACTCCCCAGAAGCAGAAACCACCATGCTTCCTGTATAGCCTACAGAACCATGAGCCAACTAAAGGTGTTTCTCAGGTATTTCTTTATATCTTTGGCCAAAATTAAAGAGTTAGGCTTTACTCTCCAAGATACTGCAACAGACAAAAACAAGCCACCACTGTTTTCTAATGTTGTTTTCTTGTTAATTCAATCAACAAGTATTTTCTGGTAAGTTTAGTGTTCCAGAGACTGTTAACCTTGTGATGCACCGGTTAATAAAACATCCTTAAGAGAAATAAAAGTTTAAAAATAAACCAGATGATAAAATGCAGTCGTGCACACAATGCCACTTATCCACATTTCTTCTGTGTGTCACCCATGATCCAGAAAATGTCTTTAGTATAAGCCATTGATAAAGATGCCTGAAAAATTTACGTATAGAAGACATAGTAACAAAATTATTTTTTTCCTTTGATATCCCTTGTTACTTCAAACAGAATTTACCATTCCAATTCGATTTCTGAATACATGGGAGTTAATAGAATACTCCTAATCCATTTATAGGATCTACGCTAAGTAAAAAAATTAAAGACATCTGAAAACTATTTTGTGAGTCCTTATAATCCATATCAAAAATCATGGAATATATTAAGTAATAGACCAAAAATTAATCATCATATTAACCAAAAACACATAGCAAGACAAGATAACTAAATATTTTCATTTGGAAATTGGGAAATTTAGTCAATTTTAAAACTCAGCAAATGAGATCATTTCACAGAAGCAACCTAGGTTTGCTGGTAAATTAAAATTATGACATTTTGTTTTGGTTTGGGAGGGTAGTTCCTCTTCTGTAAATTGTGTACTCACATAAGAAATATACCTATGTTCTCACAGACACTTGCTGTAGAGGTAATAATATGAAGTTAGTTCAGGGATCAGGGCCTCACAGTGCAGTGCTGGTAGCTTTTTTTTTTTTTTTTTTTTTTTTTTTTTGCCCTGCACCTTGAGTAAAAGTTTCCTGAGGCCTCCCCGGAAGCAGAAACCACCATGCTTCCTGTATAGCCTATGGAACCGTGAGCCAACTAAAGGTATTTCTCATGTATTTCTTTATAGCAATGCAAGAACGTACTAATACCGCTAAGCAGAGGCCATCAGGACCAGCAACAGTCTGAGCTGGGTGAGAGACAAAGCTAAACTTTGAGCAGCAGCAGGAGCTGCCAGGGATTACAGAAAGGAAGGACGGACTCCTAAATTCCAGGATGTCTCCTTTAAGTCTGTAAGAAGCTCAGCCACCGTCTCCTTACCTGACTCCTCTGGGAAAGAGTTTCCCTAAGTTAAGCCATACAGGGATAGGTTAGGAGATGCCATTTGGATCTAGGAGCAGAGGGCAGAGACTCAGCAGGAAGAGTGTGTCTTTGAGAAGGGGACACAGTGGAGCAGGTGTGTAGGTTCACAGGGCCAGCTATGGGTAGAGTCGGGTGTACATTTTTAGAAGCCACAATTCCCAAAAATCTCCTGACTATAACATCAGTGCACAGAGCCAGTCAAATGGAGGAGGAGTGGGTCCAGGCAATTCAGGAAGAAGGAAAGTAACCAATGAGTGGTTGCAGGAGGACACTTTTTCTGTTGAGTTCACTAAACAAAACATTGTCTCCTCCCCTTAACTTCGGAAACAATGGAGGGTAAAAGTGTTGCCTGGGCCCTGGGGGCAAAGGCAGTAGATAACTTCTCTGTCATGTTCTCCAGAAGGGCCCATTCCAGCCTCACAGGCCGAGAAGTCTGTTCGGATCCCAAGTACTAGAGATGCTGCTATAAGGGACTCCCGAATTTCCTTCCTGAACCAGAGGCTGCCCAGCCTTTTCTTCCTGTTTTATTTTTTCCCAGGAAGAAACTTGCCTGTACAATTACAAGGTTCTACGGTTCTAAATTCCAATCTAGTCTTCCACATCATTTTGAAGGTATGATATTACTTGTCAAAGTGGGATGATAGAAGATATGTGTGGACATAAATTGTTGACAAGGAAAAAAACTAAAATAAGAAAATAAGAGAGAAAAAATATATGTATGTACAGTGGTTAGCTAGAAATATGCCTTTTAAATACTTGGCATGTGGTTTGTGGGCCTCAATGTGTACTATTGCACTAGCTTCCCAAATATTAAAGGATGTCTTTTAAAAGAAAAACCTCTTGCTAAAAGGTTAACAGTTAAAATAACCAGAGTGGCACAGGTACCAGTCATTAAGTGAAACCTTTCATCTTCCCAGAATAGTACCTGTTCCCAAGCCAGCTTCTTTGAAAATCACTTTTCTCTCCTTTACTATTTAGTTTACAGATTTTATAGTAACAATACAGAAACCACAATAGTAGCAAAAAAAAAAGAATATTTTTAAATGAAAACTCACATCCTAACTCTACCAAAACATGAAAATTAAACCTGAATGCCTCCCATTCCTGATATATTTTTCACCTAAATATTCAGCTCTGGGATTGCATTGTTTTTGGATTGAGTGGAAATTATTGCCTGGTCTTGAAATCTTCCATAATGTGTGTGTGTGTGTGTGTGTGCGTGTGTGCGTGTGTGTGTGTATGTATGTATGTGTGGTGATTATATTTCTTTTTGTTCAGAGCAAAGATTTTTTCAATATGTATATTTATTTTAGGCAGATTATGCTAGTAATTTTCTACAAATGTGCTTTTTAAAAAATAACTAATTTTAAAAAAATTATTCTTACTCAGTGGCCCACAATTGTTAAAAACGCTACTAATGGAGCTGGGTATGGTGACACACACCTGTCATCCCAGCTACTTGGGAGACTGAGGCAGGGGTATTGCTTAAACTTGGGAATGTGAAACCAGCCTGGGCAACATAGTGAGATCCCAATCTCAAAAATCAATCAATCATTAAAAAATAAAATAAAACACTACTAATGGCTTTTTAAAAAATAGTTCTTAACCAATTTTCCTAGCACCTTCCTTTCCTCAGTGAAGTATAGAAATATGTGGTCAGGCACTGTGGCTCACACCTATAATCCCAATAATTTGGGAAGCCAAGGCATGAGGATCAGTTGATTCCAGGAGTTCAAGACTAGCCAGGGTGACATAATGAGACTTGGTCACTAACAAATTTTTTTTTTCTTTAATTAACAGGGCATGATGGTGCATGCCTCTAGCCCAGCTACTTGAAAGGCTGAGGTAGGAGAATCACTTGAGCCCAGGAGGTGAAGGCTGCAGTGAGCCGTGGTTGCACCACTGCACTCCATACCTGGGTGACAGAGTGAGACACAGTAATAAAAACAAACAACAACAAAAAGTATTTGTTTTAGAAAAAACATTTGGTGAGGTTTGGGCTTAAAAATATATTATTCTAAAATATTCATAAATATTCTCTAGTAATGATAAGATTAAAGTGACAAAGACAAACTTTTTTCCTGTGCAGTTCCATCTCTCACCTTCCCGTAATTTGTCTATCCCATCCAGCTTCCAAAGGAAATTATTTACAAAATAATGTCTGCATCCTGGGTCTATATATCTATTGCCTATGAGGAGAGCGTTTAAGATCTGAGCCATCTTCAAGTCTTATACTTTGTGTATAGCTCTCATGTTTTTGCAGGTTATGTAAGTTTGTATACCCTTTCTTTTATTAATCTGTGTATGGTCAGTTCATTTCAGGTAATCTTCAGAGGGTGAAAGGCAAAGCTTTTCACTTCACTCCTACTGTGACAACTAACTACCTTCTTACTTATTCAATGTTTTAGTCTATATCAACACTTTTATATACATTTACTTTTAAACTAAATTTTGCATCATTACACTTAAAATTTTATTTACCTTTTAAAAAGGAAATTAAAAATAAAATTAAAAATTATAAAATTTTACATAATAAAAATAAAATAAATGATTTATATAAAAATCTGACCTGTGAAAAACACTGTCCAGAGGCCAGGAGCGGTGGCTAATGCTTGTAATCCCAGCATTTTGGGAGGCCGAGGTGGGTGGATCACGAGGTCAGGCGATCTAGACCACGATGAAACCCCTCTCTACCAAAAATACAAAAAATTAGCCGGGCATAGTGGCGGGCGCCTGTAGTCCCAGGCACTCGGAGAGGCTGAGGAAGGAGAATGGCATGAACCCGGGAGGCAGAGCTTGCAGTGAGCCGAGATCGTGCCACTGCAATCCAGCCTGGGTGACAGAGCCAGCCTCTGTCAAAAAAAAAAAAAAAGAAAAAGAAAAACACTATCAAGAGAATAAAAAGACAAATCACAGACTGGGAGTAAAAATTTACAAAAGCTATATCTGGTGAAGATACATTTGTTATCCAAAATATACAAAGAACTCTCAGGACTCAATAATAGGAAAACAAATAGTCTAACACAAATGTAGAGATCTGAACAGACATTTCACCATAGAATACAGATGGATGATAACGTAAGCACATTGAAAGATGTTCAACATCATTCATCATTAGGGAAATGTAAATTAAAACCACAATGAGATACTGCTACATGCCTATTAGAATAGCTAAAATTTAAAAGACTGGCCATACTAAACATTGGTGAGAACACAAAGGAACAGGAATGCTCATACGCTGCTGCTGGAAATACAGCCACTTTGTCAGTTTCTTTATAAGTTAAACTGGCTGGGAGCGGTGGCTCACGCCTGTAATCCCAGCACTTTGGGAGGCCAAGGCGGGCGGATCACGAGGTTGGGAAATTGAGGCCATCCTAGCTAACACGGCGAAACCCCATATCTACTAAACATACAAAAAATTAGCCGGGCGTGGTGGCGAGCTACTCCGGAGGCTGAGGCAGGAGAATGGCGTGAACCCGGGAGACGGAGCTTGCAGTGAGCCGCCATGCACCACTGCACTCCAGCCTGGGTGACAGAGCGAGACTCCGTCTCAAAAAAAAAAAAAAAGTTAAACATATCACACCACCTAGTCATTCAAATCCTGCTTATTTGCCCAAGACAAATGAAAGTGTATGTCCAAACGATTAGACAAACATTCATAGCAACTTTATTTGTAATAGCAAAAACAACCGGAAGCAAACCAAATGTCCATCAAGAGGTGAATAGATACACTAACTGTAGAATATCCATACAATAAAACTATTTTTTAAAAAACTATGGAGCAAAAAACAAAAAACCAAAGATAGAATCTAACTTCTTGGTAAATACATTCACTATTAGGGTTTTTATAACAGAGAAGTCATTCTTTATTAACACTCTTTTGACTATGAAAATATTTTGACATCAAAAATCTGCAAAATATGAAGAAACAAAGGACACACAGCTTTTTCTATTTTCTACTTTTATTTTATTTTTATTTTTTTGAGAAGGAGTCTCTTTCTGTCACCCAGGCTGGAGTGCAGTGGCGCGATCTTAGCTCACTGCAAGCTGCGCCTCCCGGTTCATGCCATTCTCCTGTCTCAGTCTCCCGAGTAGCTGGGACTACAGGCGCCCGCCACCAAGCCCGGCTAATTTTTTGTATTTTTAGTAGAGACGGGGTTTTACCGTTAGCCAGGATGGTCTCAATCTCCTGACCTCGTGATCTACCCGCCTAGGCCTCTCAAAGTGCTGGGATTACAGGCCTGAGCCACCGCCCCCGGCCCCAGGACACACAGCTTTAAAAATTTCTCCTTGATCTCACCCAGTGCCAACCACCTAAAACCTCTCATTTTCCCCCAGACATTTCTTCTGCCTCCAGGATGGAGGTAGAGAATCTTGGCCTTGGGCCACGCACTGGGGACCATGCTGGGCTGCCGAGGTCAGTGACGGAGTCAGGTTCTCACCAGGATCCCCAAAATAGGCCCCTGAAAAAAATGTTACCATCAGGGTGCGCTCCCTGATTCTTGTGTCTGCTGGAAGGAGGAAATCAAGCCAGGAACATTGTCAGGATAGAGGCGAAAATTGGGCTCACTTTTCTGTCTCTTGTGATGTCAGACAAGCCTTTCAGCTCTGTCTCCTCAGCCCTCATGGAATTGTTTGGTGTGGACGCACCAAGATTCTGAACTGGGTCCCCTTTCCCTCTGCCCTTCTCTGGGGCCAGATTCTGAGCTCTCCATTCCAATTTTTCCCCCAATTTGCCCTTGCATTTATTTATCTGGATTACTGTCTGCCTGTCCCAAAGAATAAATGCTTTATCACAGTGGGGACTTTGTTTAAAAAAATAATAATAACAGCTATATTTTTAGGATCCATCACACTGACCAGCATATCGGTGGTATCTGATAAAAAATGTTTGTTGACTGAATGACCAAATATATTATTCACAATTCACATTATCCTGAACTGGCTAGAAAATTAAATACCTGATATCAGTATTGGCAACATTATGAAGTAAATATAATTCTCATACAGTGCTAGTGAAAGTCTAATATGAAATGCTCATTTTAGAAAACATTTTCTTGTAGATTTGAAAATGTTTCATCTCCATGAACTAGTTGTATATCTGCAAGTCGTGTATCTTTGGGTTAGGCAGAATAATTGCCCCCCACCAAAGACAGCCACATCCCAGTCTTCAGATAAGGTGAACATGCTAACGTAAGTTAGCATATTCAAAGGGACTTGGCAGATGTGATTACCATTAAGGGCATTGAAATGGGGAAATTACCTTGAATTATCTTGGTGAGCCAATCTAATCTCATAATTCCTTGAGAGCACAGAATATTTTCTGGATGCTGAGATTCAGACAGATGGCAGTATGAGAAAGACGTGGCCTGCTATTACTGGCTTTTAAAACAGTGGTAGGGGGCCACAAGCCAAGGAAAGCCAGTGACCTTTAGAAGCTGGGAATGACCCAAAGTTTACAAAAAGGAAGAGACTGAGAATCTACAACCACAAGGAACTGAATTCTGCCAACAACCCAGATGCTTTTTTAGAGCCTTCAGAAAGAAATGCAGCCTGCCAACATCTTGATGTTATTTCAGTGAGAGCCATGACAGATTTTCAACCAAAACAATTCTAGGACAATAAGTTTGTGTGTGTTTATTAAAACTGACTCAAATCTTACAAAAATGTGTTCTTTTAAGCCACTGAATTTGTGGTAAATTGTTACAGCAGGAATAGAAAACTGATACAACCCTAGAGAAAGTCTTGTACATGTGCCCTATAAACACACAGCAGAATTTTTAACTTTTTATTGAGTTAAAAAATATATATACAATTTACCATCTGTACATTTTTAGAGGACAGTTTAGTGGTGATAAATACATTTATATTTTCTTCTCTTAATCTCCTCTTCCCCCTCCCCTTGCTGGCCTCTAGCAACCACCAATTTACTTTCTATCTTCATGAGATCCACTTTTTTACTGCCCACATATGAGTGACAACATGTGGTATTTGGCTTTCTGTGCTTGGCTCATTCCACTTAACATAATGGCCTATGTTCATTACGTTAAGCCAAATGGCCAGCGCCACCTATGTTGCTGCGAATGACAGAATTTCATTCTTCTTTGTATCTGAGTAGTATTCCATTATGTATATATATGACTTTTAAAATCTATTCATTTGTTGATGAGCACTTACATTGATTCCACATTTTGTCTATTGTGAATAGTGCTGCAGTACACATCGGCATGTAGATATGTCTTTGATACATTAATTTCCTTTATTTTGGATATATATCCAGTAAAGAAATTGCTGGACCACATGGTAGTTCTATTTTTACTTTTTTGAGGAACCTCCATACTGTTCTCCATAGTGGCTTTATTAATGTAGATTCCCACCAACAGTGTACTAGTATTTCCCTTTCTCCACATCCTTGCCAGCATCTGTTATTGCCTGTCTTTTTGAAACAAGTCATTTCAACCAAGGTGAGATGATATTGCATTGTGATTTTGATTTGCATTTCTTTGATGATTAGTGATATTGAACATTTTTTCATCTTCCTATTGGCCATTTGTATGTCTTCTTTTGAGAAAATATCTGTTCGGATCTTTTGCCCATTTATAAATTGTATTTATTTTTATATTTTTAACTATTTTTTTTTAGAAGCAAGGTCTTGCTTTGTCACCCAAGCTAAAGGGCAGTAGCATAATCATAGCTCACTGTAACCTCAAACTCCTGGGATTAAGAAATCCTCCTGACCGGGCGCGGTGGCTCACGCCTGTATTCCCAGCACTTTGGGAGGCCGAGGCGGGCGGATCACGAAGTCAGGAGATCGAGACCATCCTGGCTAACACAGTGAAACCCCGTCTCTACTAAAAATACAAAAAATTAGCCGGGCTTGGTGCCGGGTGCCTGTAGTCCCAGCTACTCAGGAGGCTGAGGCAGGAGAATGGCGTGAACCCCGGGGGAGCAGAGCCTGCAGTGAGCCGAGATCACGCCACTGCACTCCAACCTGGGCGACAGCGAGACTCCATCTCAAAAAAAAAAAAAAAAGAAAAAGAAATCCTCTTACCTCAGCCTCTTCAGTAGCCCATTTTTCAATCAGATTTTTTGTTTGTTTATTATTGAATTGCTTGAGCTCCTTATA
>NC_000009.12:43254352-43263290 GCF_000001405.40 Homo sapiens
TTTGTCCCATTCTGTGGTTGGCTCTTCACTTTATTGATTGTTTCCTTTGCTTGAGGCTTTTTAGTTTGATATAATCCCATTGTCTATTTTTGCTTTTGTTGCCTGCGCTTCCGAGGTCTTACGCAAAAAATCTTTGCCCAGACTAATGTCCTGGAGCATTTCTCCTATGCTTTCTTTTTTTCTTTCTTTTTTTCTTTTTCACGCCATTCTCCTGCCTCAGCCTCCCGAGTAGCTGGGACTACAGGCACCCACCATCATTCCCCGCTAATTTTTTTTTTTTTTTTTGTATTTTTAGTAGAGACGGAGTTTCACCGTGTTAGCCAGGGTGGTCTCGATCTCCTGACCTTGTGATCTGCCTGCCTTGGCCTCCCAAAGTGCTGAGATTACAGACGTGAGCCACCGCGCCCAGCCTTTCCTATGCTTTTTTTTTTTTTACTAGCTTCATAGTTTCAGGTCTCAGATTCAAGTCTTTAATCAATTTTTATTTGATTTGATTTTTGTGTATGGTGAGATGGGATTAATTTTATCCTTCTGCATATAGTTAGTCAGTTTTCCCAGGATCATTTATTGAAAAGACTGTTGTTTTCCCAGTGTATGTTCTTGATGCCTTTGTCAGAGATGAGTTGTTTGTAAATGTGTAGATTTGTCTGTGATCTCTATTCTGTTCCACTGTCCTATGTGTCTGTTTTTATGCCAGTAGAAATATATTGGCAATAATTAGTACAGAAAAGCTGAAACAATGAAATGACAAAAGTGAATTATACTGATATAATTCATTATGCTCACCAAATGCAATAGCATACAGCTAGGAAAACAATGTAGTGCACACGGTATTAAAATACAACACAATTCAATATACACAGTGCTCACAGTGGCCATCGTTAGAGTGTTGAAGAAGGGGATGTAGTCAGCAAAAGTTGTACAGGTGACTTCAAAAGTAATCATAAGCACTTATGATTACTTTTGGCTTAATTTCTTAAACCAAGACTGGAGACACAGGTGTTCATTATGTGCTTATTATATATATAAAATAAATATTTTATAAATATATTGTTTCTGTTCAGTATTTAATAAAGTAAATCAATAGAAAAGGTTAAAAAGCAATGCACACATATTTCAAATATTTTTTGCTCCAAATTATATAAACATTGCATAGTTTTTGCCCTGGGCCTGGCAAGGTGACTCACACCTCTCATCCTAGCACTTTAGGAGACTGAGGCAGGAGGATAGCTTCAGCCCCAGAGGTCAAGGCTGTAGTGAGCCTTAATTGCACTACTGCACTCCAGCCTAGGTGACAGAGTGAGATGCTGTCTGAAGATAAAAATAAAAATAAGTTAATATATAAATATATGTTTATATATTAACCGATTTTATTAACTATATATATATATATAGTTGTTGTCTTGGTCTATAGGCAATCTTACAGTGCTTAAGAGTTTGATACTGAGAACAGATCTCCTAGGTATATGCTGTGTTTCTGGGGTGACATGATGCTCTCATCTGGCCTCCGTGAGCCTAATTCTATCTTACATTTACCCCACTCTTCAACAACAACTTGGGGAGGTGTCCCTAAACATTCCCAGGTGAACCCAAACCTGTGGCCCTCAACACATTTCTAGGTAAAGCAAGCTCCTGACATATCTGTGGATATCCTCTCATTGGAAGAAGGGGGAAGAGACCATCTAAAAATAATTCATTTAATATAGCTTTTCAGCGTTAATTTTATTTTGATAAAGAGACACACAGTAAATAAAATTTCTAAAAAACTATAAACTTTCAAGCATTCTCACGCTAAATCTAGCCCTGCTCACATGCCAGGGAAATATAAAGGTAATTTGTTTCTCAACCTGACCAGGATGCTACAGTAATTAAAAATAAACTCAATCCCTGGATCCCTAACAAAGGGTCATTTCATATGGATCAAAGTTCTGGAAAAATTATTTGTCTGGAAATAGACTAATTCTCCAAAATATAATTGAAATAACAGTCTCTGGAAAGGGCCAAATGCGACTCTTAATGATACAACAGCTAAATATAGGTCTGATGCTCATTCCGTGTGGACAACAATAGCAGCCATTCCCACAAATGGCTGATTTGTGGGAAGTAAACACTACTTTTGCAGAATCTTACATGATTTCAGTAGAAGGGCAAGGACATTTCAGTTGGGAACAGATTCCTCCATGGTAATGTGATCACTATGTACCCAACAATGGCTCTTTCTTCCTAACGTCAATGCAGATGTTATTTTCACCTTAACTGTTATCATTGCTGTTTCTAACCACATAAAAGTGTATCCTTTATATATCTGAAGTAAATTCATACTAGTGGTGTAACATCTCCAGCCATTTAAGTGTAAAAACAGAAAACGTATGATGTGTTTATGTACTGTTTTATACTCCTAACGCATGAAGAGAAGATCCTTTTATTCATTGCCTATACTTTTATTTCTAAACTTTCTGTAACACTTTATCTTATATCCAGCATAGAATTGAGATTTGCTTTTTGATTTAATCTGACAATATTTTTTCCTCTAATAAGAGTCAAGTCCACTTACTTTTAATGATAAATTGTGTTTGGTTATATTTTGATTACAGTATATTATGCTATGATTTATATGCCCATATCTGTCTTTTGCTGTCTTGTTTGTTTTTATTGCTTTTGTTTTGATGTTGTGATATTTGGAAGAGTTAAACTTTATTCTGATGGCTACCTTATGTAACTTCATAAAATCGTCCCTTTCTTTAGACAGTAGCTAATGTCTCTAAACTAAGAACAATGGTATTAGCTGTATTCTCTTTCTTGTCCTCCCTATGTGATTTTTCATCCCACAATTTGATTTAATCATATTAACTTTGTTTCCCCTGGTGCCATTAAGTATGCTTACATTTCTATAAACAATATCCTTTGACTCCCAGGCATTACAAATGAGCAGTCAGTAAAATGATTCTGAGGAATACTTTCTCTTTCCTTTTCTTCCATTTTTCTTAGTTGTATCATTTCTATATTGCCAGAGCACCTACAGTTGCATTTCTTTCTGTCAGCTTTATCCAGCATTTGTTTTTGTCTTTTATTTGAAGTTAAATATATTCCTTGCTCACTACAACACTGGGAGAAGGAAGGTTTCTGTTGTCATTGTTGTGCTTGTACAGTTGTTTATTTAAAAACATTGGCGAAAACAAAAACTGTATGTAGATGGAATGGAGATAAGACAGAAAATGAGAGAGACTGATGATGAGTGTGCCTATTCTAGACTGGGAGGCGTGCTACACTGAGCAGTGTCTCCAAGGCTGCAGGAAAGGATGGTTGATTGTGAGCAGGTGGACTTTCCACTGGAGGAGAGAAGTCCTGCGCTCAACAACCTGTGCAGAACCAGAAACTGGTAATGCTTCAAATCAACTTACAGACCTGGAGGTAGAAATTTAAGAAAACTCGTTTAGCACCTAGTTTCCTAGAAAATATTAGCTACTATTTGCTGAGCATCTGTCAGTCTGTCTGTAGCATGGAAGATCTGAGTACAGGGGAAACTGGATTAGTAACAGTGGGTCAGAAAATTATATAATATTCAACCAAAATTCCTGCTTTACATACACAACACCTGGTATTTCCAGAACTAGAAGGTAAAGAAATTATTTGTGCTTGAACTTGCAGAAAACTGCCTTTTCCCTTCTTCTCTTGCATCTTAACCTGGAGCTTCCCTTTTCTTGAGCCTCAGTGTGCTTCCCAACTCAACTTATAATTGTCTTCCTGCAGTTTCTCCTTAGGACAGGGCTTTGTTTTGGGGGTGGTTAATTTGTAGGGTTCATAGGAAACAGACCACTCACAGCACCTGCTTTTTGGCATCCTCACTCTCAGCTATGAGTTGAGGCCCAGGAAGCCTTCTGCCAGCCTCAGCTGCTGTTCTCAGATTAATCTGCTGAGTTCTTTTTGCCTAGTAAGAATCTCTGAATTTAGGAACATAGATGTTAGCACTTGTATTTCTAGGTTTTCCAGTTCCCAGGGCCATTAAACATTTTTTTCCTTTCCTTTCCTTCTTCCAAAAAAATTGGTAATTCCCCTGGGTCCCTGTGGTTTAACCTCACAAAAGGTCCATGATGACACCCTGTTACATTGTTTTGTCATAGTTAATACCTTGTTATCCCAGTTGCTCAGTCCGTTTTTGTGAGAGATTCAGGGATATTAATAAAACTGTGCTGCTACTGCTACTAACATCTTGCATAAAATCCCTATTAATTAAAATGTTTATTTTGCATGTGATTTGAACTTGTAGTTTTTATTCAAAGTTTTTCAACAGAGATCCAGAAAAGACCCTCCTTATATTTTTAGTTTTGTGCATTGCAACACTTTTTAGTGAAAAAAAAAAAAACATGAGAACAACACAAGTGATTTTAAAAGAATAAACCTACAATCCATTAATTATAAAATGAAATACTATGCAGGTGTTAAGAATGAGGGAATCAATAAGAACTTGTGTGGGGTAACTATAAATTTTTAAAAATAAATTTAATGCTCATGTGACCATATTATCGTTAAAAAAATACAAGCATACTTGCACACACCTTCAAGCAAAATGGGTACACGCATTTAAAAATATTTAAATTAAGTAAATGGTCCAATAATTTAACATTGTACAATTCTATGTTCTCTGATTATTTTATATGCTAGAAACAGGCATTACTGTTTTGTTTATTTCATTTGAAATAATTGTAGTCACATGAGGTTTAAGTTATAATACAGAGAGGTCACATATGCCTATTTTCTAATTGGATACCTTATTTATTACTACTGAGTTTTGAGAATTTTTTACATATGCTAGATGTAAGTTCTTTGTCAGATATATGGTATGCAAATTATTTCTCCTACTCTGTAATTCATTTTTTCAACCTCTTTACAGGGTCTTACTAACTAAAAAAAAAAAAAGTGTTTATTTATTTTAATGAAGTCCAGTTTTATCACTTTTTCCTTTTGTAGATTTTGTTTTTGATATCAAGCCTAAAAATTCTTTGCCTAGCCCAAGGTCTCAAGACTTTTCTTCTATTTTAAAAAGTTTAATGAATTTATTTATTTATTAATTATTTTTGAGATGAGGTTTCACCCAAGCTGTAGTGCAGTGGTGCCATCATTGCTCACTGCAGCCACTAACTGCTGGATTGAAGTGATCCTTCCACCTCAGCCACTTGAGTAGTAGCTGGGATTACAGGCACGAGCTACCATACACATCTTTAAGTTTTATAATATTACATTTTACATTTAAGCCTGTGATTTATGTGAGCTAAATTTTATATAAAGTATAAATTTAGGTCAGTCTTAGTTTTTGTACCTGTGAATGTCCAATTGCTCTAGCACCATTTGTTGAAAAAGATATCCTTCCTTTAAACTGATTTTGCATCCTTCTTAAAAAAAAAATCAGTTGAATATAGTGTGGTCTGTCACCTTTTAATAAGATAAAAACATTGGCACTCACCAGATGTCGAAGTTTAGAAATTTTTTTAAAGCTAAACTTCTGAAAATTGAATAAAAACACCTCCACATGTCAAATTAAATTTGTATAGGACTAATTCATTTAAATATATTAAAATACAAAATAATTCAAACCACTAAAGTGATAATACAAGACTGTAAATTTAAAGGCTAATTATTAAGTCAAATTGCTGTATTCTACGTGTTAGAGTGAGTTCAAATGATCCATTGTATTACTGAATAGGCAAAAGTTTTAATTTCAGAGGATAAAACTGATATATTACTGCCACCTTGTGGATATTCTCTTATTACAGGCTATTATAAAAAGCAATGAGGGTATGTAATCTGTTCTAACAAGAAGCATTTCCTTTTTTTTGTCGTTTTTATTATTGTTATTATTACATTTTAAGTTCTGAGATACATGTACAGAACGTGGAGGTTTGTTACATAGGTATACACATGCCATGGTGGTTTACTGCACCCATCAACACATCATCTACATTAGGTATTTCTCCTAATGCTATCACTCCCCCAGCCTTCCACCCCCCTGACAGGCCCCAGTATGTGATGTTCCCCTCCCTGTGTCCATGTGTTCTCATTGTTCAACTCAAAAGAAAAACAGAAGCATTTTCTGCTTTCCCAATTTCTTAAATACAATGCAACTTTATGTTTAATTTAACTAACTTAATTTTTTGAGACAAGGTCTAGCTCTGTTGCCCAGGCTGGAGTGGAGTGGTGTGAATATGGTTCAGTGAAACCTCCACCTCCCTGGCTCAAGTGATCCTCCTTCCTCAGCCTCTCGAGTATCTAGGACCACAGGCATGCACCACATGGCCAGCTAATTTCTTTTTTATTTTTTGTAGAGATGAGGTCTCACTTTGTTGTCCACGCTGGTCTCAAACTCCTGGGCTCAAATGATCCTCTTGCCATGGCCTCCCACAGCGCTGGGATTTATAGGTGTGTGCCATGTCACCGGGCCTAAGCTACTGTAGAGAAGCCTTTTTTCTTTCATAAAAACAGTTGTAGATATTTTCCTTATGGAATTTATTTGTGGTGAAGTATTTTAATAGACAGTTTAATTTGTTAAATAATTTGTCTCAGATAACAATAATTGATTAATATTAAAACTACAAAACAAGTAGGGTTTTCTTTTTCTATGAAAAATGAAAGTTGATTCTGACATTTATGTAAACATTTTAAATATTCAAAGTATATAAATGTGAAGGCCTATCAAGAGTAATTAGACAAGAGAAAGAAATAAAGGGCATTCAAATCGGAAAGGAGGACATCAAATTGTTCCTATTTGCAGATGACATGATCTTATATATAGGAAAACCTGAAGACTCTACCAGAAAACTTTTAGAACAAACAAATTCAGTGAAGTTGCAAAACACAAAACTAATACACAAAGATTGGTTGCATTTATATATATGAACAACAAACTCACTGAAAAAGAAATTAAGAAGGCAAACCCATTTACAATAGTTACCAAAAAAAAACCCAGACAAAAATGTAACCAAGGAGGTAAAATGAAAACTACAAAACACTAATGAAAGAAATTGAAGAGGATACAAACAAATGAAAAGACATTCACACTCATGGATCAGAAATATGAATGTTGTTAAAGTGACAGTACTACTCAAAAGCAACCTACAGATTCAATGCAATCTCTATCAAAATACCTATGAACATTCTTCACAAAATTAAAAAAAATCCAAAGAGATTTTATGGAATCAAAAAATATCCTGAATAGCCAAAGCCATCCTAAGCAAAAAGAACAAAGCTGGATGTATCATGCTACCAGACCTCAGAATATACTACAAAACTGTAGTAACCAAAACATCATGGTATTGGCATAACAACAGACACATAGACCTATGGAATAGAATAAAGAACCCAGAAAATCCACATATCTCAGCCAAAGGATTTTTTTACAAAGGTGCCAAGAACACTCATTGGGGAAAGGATAGTCTCTTCAATAAATGGTGCTGGAAAAACTGGATATCCATATGCAGAAGAATGAAACTAGACCTCTGCCTCTCACCCTATACAAAGATCAACTCAAGGTATCTCAAATACCCAAATATAAGACCCAAAATGGTAAAGCTACTAGAAGAAAACATAGGGGAGATCCTTCAGGACATTGCTCTGGGAAAATATTTTATGAATAAGGCATCAAAAGCACAGGCAACAAAAGAAAAAATAAACAAATGGGATCACATCAAGTTAAAATATTCTGCACAGCAAAGGAAATAATAAAGTGAGTGAAAAGACAACCTACAGAATGGGAGAAAATATAAACTCATCTGGCAGGAAATTAATATCAAGAATATACAAGGAATTCAAACATATCAACAGCAAAGAAGCACAACAATCTAATTAAATATAAACAAATGCTCTGAACAGACATTTCTCAAAAGAAGACATACAAATGACCAACAAATATATGAAAAAATGTCCAACACCACTAATCAGCAAGGAAATGCTAATCAAAGCCACAGTGAGGCATCATCTTACTCCAGTTAGGATGGCTATTATAGAAGAGACAAAAATAACAAATGCTGACAAAGACGTGAAGAAAAGGGACTTTTTTTTTGACAGAATCTCACTCTCCGTCCAGGCTGGAGTGCAGTGGTGGTGTAATCTGGCTCCCTCTGCTTCTAGAGTTCAAATAATTCTCCTCCCTCAGCCTCCTGAGTAGCTGGAGAAAAAGGAATTCTTATGCACTCTTGGTAGGAATGTAAATTAGTGCAGCCAGTATGGAGAACAGTATTGAAACACCTCAAGCAATCCCACTACTGGGAATTTATCCAAAGGAAAGAAAAGCATTATATTGCAGAGACATCTGCATCCCCATGTTTATTGCAACAGTGTTCACAATAGCCAAGATATGGAATCAACCTAGGTTTCCAACAATAGATGAATGGATTTTTAAAATATGGTATATATACACCAAGGAATGCTATTTATCCATAAAAAAGAATAAATAAAATCCTGTCATTCTCAGCAACATGGATGAAACTGGAGGATATTATGTTAAGCAAAATAAGCCAGGAATAGAAATTTCAACACCACATGTTCTCACTCACGCAGAAGATAAAAAAAAGTTGATCTCATAGAAGTAAAAAGTAGAACAGAGGATACTGCAGGCTGAAAAGGGTAGGGAGAAAGGAGGAATAATAAGAGATTTGTTAATGGATACAAAATTACAGCTAGGTGGGAGTAATAAGTTCTAGTGTTCTAGTTCTAGTGTTCTATAGATGACTATAGTTAACAATACTATATTATGTAGTTTAAAATACCTAGGAGTAGTTTGAATGTTCCCAACACAAAGAAATAATAAATGTTTGAGATGATAGATATGCTAATTACCCTGATCTGATCACCATCTACATGTACTGAAACATCCCCGTATAGACATGAATGTGTATAATCTTTGTCAATTTAAAAAGTAAAAAAAAAAATTAATTTTGGAGAATGC
>NC_000009.12:43263820-43268730 GCF_000001405.40 Homo sapiens
TAGATATGCTAATTACCCTGATCTGATCACCATCTACATGTACTGAAACATCCCCGTATAGACATGAATGTGTATAATCTTTGTCAATTTAAAAAGTAAAAAAAAAAATTAATCTTGGAGAATGCATTTGAAGAACTTGTACTCAAGAAATCAACTTAAGAACCTGAGTCTCCTTGGAATTTGTGTTTTCTAGACCAGTACTTCTCCAAATTAAAGCAAATTTAGGCTGGGCATGGTGGCCCATGTCTATAATCTCAGCACTTTGGAAGGCCGAGGCGGGCAGATCACTTGAGGTCAGGAGTTCGAGACCAGCTGACCCAACATTGTGAAACCCTGTCTCTACTAAAAATACAAAAATTAGCCGGGCATGATGGCATGTGCCTGTAATCCCAGCTACTTTGGAGGCCAAGGCAAGATAATCGCTTGAACTGGAGAGGTGGAAGTTGCAGTGAGCCGAGATTGCACCACTGCGCTCCAGCCTGGGCAACAGAGCAAGACTCTGTCTCAAAAAAAAAAAAAAAGCGAATTTAGTTCACTTTGGTATTGTGTCAAAATGTTGATTCTTTTAAAGTAAATCTAAAGAATTTAGATGTAGTTGAAGCTTGTCATCTGTTCTTAATTTTTTTAATAAAAATATAATATTTCGATTCAGAGTAAATCTAAAGTGAGACCTGAAGCTGCTCCCAGGTGATACTGATGCTGCTTATTTTTGCCCAGATTTTGAGTCACAAGGTTCTAAATTATTGGTTTGAAGTCCTACATGATTAATCACTTGGGGAGCTCAATTAACACCCAGCAACAGACTAATTATTAATAAACCAGAATCTTCAGTATTAGGCTTCAATCATTGGCAATTTTTTTTTTGACACACAGTCTCCCACTGTTGCCCAGGCTGAAGTCCTGAGGCCAGAATGAGACTAGGACATGGTTCCTTTGCCTAAGTAAAGTGAGGCAGACAATGGAATACTTCAGACTTCAAATCAGTATGGTAAGTGCTATGAAGAGTATGATTAGAGTTCATTATTTACTCAGAAAAGGGTCACTCAGCCCAGCCTGGGAGTTAGAGAAGGTTTCCTGAAGTCTTGACATGTGAGTCATGAAAGGACATAAGGAGTTAACCACGTGACAAAATAAGCTAAGAGAATTCTCAACAAAAGACAAAATATTGGCAAAGGCTTTTAGGCATATACTAGCTGAGTATTATTGGGAGAATGTAATGATTTTCTGTATTTCAAAAGTGTAAAATACAAAGTGGGCCATGATATGAGATAAACCAGTAAATATGTTCTGGGAACAGATCATAGAAGGGCGTGTATGCTGTCCTAAGGAGCTTAAACTTCAACTTCAGTTCATGGGAGCCAATGACAAGATCTGAGCAGGGGATGGATGTGGCTAGAGGGGCATTTTAGACAGGCAAGATTCTCTGTGGATTACACCTAGGCTAAGCAACGGGTTAAAGTTGTTGTCTTAAGACAATAGTCCAGGTAAAAGATAATAAAGTTTTAAATTAGGATGTTAGTAGGAATGAGGAAGAGGGATGGATTTCAGAAATAGTAAGGAAATGTATTAGCAGGACTTGATTAGTGATTGACTTGGGGAAGGAGGGGAAGATAGAGTTCAGGATGACTCCGAGACTGTCTGGTGTCGGTGGCTAATGACTGAAGCTATTAATAGAGGTAGGAAATGCAGACCAAAAGCAGGCCCAGGGTGAGAGATGATAAATTTGAATTTTAACATGTAGAGTTTGGACATCCAGGATGAAATAATCACAAAACATTTAAATATACGAATCTGAAAAGGTAAGCATCATAAGCATATGAGCTATTGGTAAAATTCTGATACTTAATGAAGTCTCGCGGGGAGGCAGTACAGAGGCAAGCAATGGGCTGGGGATAAAACATAGGGAAATATTATTTAAATAAAGATGAAAGAAAAGGAGCCCACAAAGGAAGCTGAAAAGGCATAGTCAAAAAAAGAGCCTTGCCAAAGTGCCACCTTTGAAGCTCTGCTGTTACACTTTATAAGGAAACTTTTGGTTACCTGCGATTGCATGCATTTATAAAAGTTTCTGTTATTAGGAAGACAATAATAATGATAAGGCTCTTTCTCATTGTTGTCAGTGTAATTTATCTATTTAATTATAGAACCTAGTTCCAGGATGCTTAATCTGAAGTATATACTTGGGGCAAAATGAATTATATCTTAATAATAATCTGGAATTTTTCTCTCTAACTTGACATATTTTAATTCTTGCTAGATTTTCAAAATGTCATACCTCGAACCACCACCAGATGGCTATGAGAATGTTACAAATATTGTGCCACCATATAATGCTTTCTCAGCCCAAGGCATGCCAGAGGCAAAATAAAATATATTTGTAACCCAAGTCTTTAAATGGTTCTTTTGCTATATAAAACCTGTATAGAGGACTAAAACCAAGGAAATTAGGTGAATCATTCATGCGGATTCATTGTTTGATATTCAGTCCTATGAAAACCTCATCCCTCAAATTTAAAAAATTATAATAAAATAGAAAAGAACACCAGACAGAGAAAAAAGAAACAAAACAAATACATTAAAAACTGACCCTACTGAAGCAGATGCCACTCTTTGAAATAACAAAGAAACTGCTGAACACATCTTTAATTCAGTGAGGCAGTAGGTGTTTTTTTATTTGTTTGTTTTTGTTTCATTTTTTTTTTTTTTTTTGAGACGGAGTTTCGCTCTTGTCACCCAGGCTGGAGTATAGTGGCACAATCTGGGCTCACTGCAACCTCCGCCTCCCAGGTCCAAGCAATTCTCTTGCCTCAGCCTCTTGAGTAGCTGGGATCATAGGTGCACACCACCACACCCTGCTAATTTTGTATTTTTTTTAGTGGAGGCGGGATTTCTCTATGTTGGTCAGGCTAGTCTCGAACTCCCAACCTCAGGTGATCTGCTCACCTCGGCCTCCCAAAGTGCTGGGATTACAGACGTGAGCCACCACGTTACAAAGGGAAACTTCCTATTTGCCCTCTGAAGGCTTGCAGAAAATGAATGGGCAAAACATAAATTAATAGAAGAAAGAGGCAAAAAAAAAATTCTGTAAAATGTAGGGGAAAAATCACAGGGTCTCACTCAGTTACCCAGCATGAAGTGCAGTGGTGTGATCATGGCTCCTTGCAACCTTGAATTCTCAAGCACAAGTGATTCTCCCCCCTAAGCCTATGGAGTAGCTGGGATCACAGGGGCATGCCACCATGCCCACATACATGGGTATTTGCTGGAGAGGAGATGGAGACTCTCTGTCCTGGATGTGAGACAGGTGGCTGGTATCTGGGTAAGGATGACATTCCCTCATTGCTAAAGAGTAAAAGAGGAAAGTGTCATGGATAGTGCAAGCAGGGACATGCCCTGACCTAGTGAGGTCCAGAGGCTTATATTGTCCTTCATAGGGGAGTGGGAAGAAGCGAGTGTAGGCAACCCAGGGGAAATAAATGATCTAAAATAAAAGAAATAGATCATCAGAAGTGTAGATGTATTAGGGTTCTCTAGAGTGACAGAATTAAAGGACTATATACATATATATATGAAGGGGAGTGAGATGGTTAATAATGAGTGTCAACTTGATAGGATTGAGGGATATGAAGTATTGATCCAGGGTATGTCTGTGAGAGTGTTGCCAAAAGAGATTAACATTTGAGTCAGTGGGCTGGGGAAGGCAGAACCACCCTTAATCTGGTGGGCACAATCTAATCTGCTGCCAGCAAATATAAAGCAGGCAAAAAAATTTGAAAAGGAGAGACTGGCCTAGCCTCCCAGCCTACATCTATCTCCCATGCTGGTTTCTTCCTGCCCTCAAACATTGGACTCCATGGCTCTCCTTTCTCATCAGTTTGCAGACAGCCCATTGTGTAACTTATGATCCCGTAAGTTAATAAACTCCCCTTTATAAATAAATATATATATGTGTGTGTGTGTATGCATATATATATGTATGTGTGTGTGTATGTATATATATATGTATATATCCTGTTAGTTCTGTCCCTCTAGATGTCACTGGCTAATACAGGAAGTTTATTAAGTATTAACTCACACAATCACCAAGTCTCACAATAGGCCATCTGCTGGATGACGAGGGAAAAGAGCCAGCCAGAGTTCCAAAACTGAAGAACTTGGAGTCCATGTTCGAGGGCAAGAAGCATCCAACATGGGAGAAAGATATAGGCTGGGAGGCGACGCCTGTCTCTTTTCACATTTTTCTGCCTGCTTATAGTATGGCTGGGTTGGCAGCTGATTGGATTGTGCCCACAAAGATTAAGGGTGGGTCTGCCTTTCCCAGCCCACTGACTCACATGTTAATCTTTTTTTGGCAACACCCTCACAGACACACCCAGGATGAATACTTTACATCCTTCAATCCAATCAAGTTGACACTCATTATTAACCATCACAAGCCCACCCCTTGTGAACTTCAACCCACACACATCTCCTGAGATCATACATAATCTTAAAATACAGACAATAGTAAGGTCATAATTACCCCTCACATAATAAACTATCCTTCCTACAACTGGAAATGCACCCATCCCCAACCCAAATACTCTTACATAAAGTAAACAACACTTAAATGCTCATATGAGGTCAGCAAATTTATGTCACCTGATAAAGAAAAGGGAAATGAAATGAAGATATTTTCTTAGTACAAGTGCATACATGCACAAACATGTTTTTAACAAAAGAAGAAGGAAATACTCATGATAGTTCCAGTCCTCATTTCTGCAGCTGGTCAGGTGGTCGTAGCTGGTATTGATAACTACTTTCTTCCACTATTCATTCTGTATTCCCTTTGCCTTCAGCAAGCACCTCAGCAGGTCGTGACCCGGAGAGGATCTGGACCATTTGTAGTCCTACCTGGATTGGGTATAGTT
>NC_000009.12:43268750-43270944 GCF_000001405.40 Homo sapiens
ATAATACCAAGAGACGCCCTAATGGATCTCCTATATTCCATTCATACGCTTCCTCACTTCCGTTGTGGAGTAGCGGACTGACTTCATCTTGATAGTCTGGGTCAATCACTGCCGCCAACACTGTAACTCCATTCTTAGCTTGTTGACTTAAAGGTAGGAGGACCCCCAAAGCGTCCAAGTGGCCATCTTAACTTCCAGTTTAATGGAATTGTTATTGTGTCTCCTGGTAGCAGCGTTCTTCCCTCTGGAGCTAAGATGACTAGTAAAGCAGAACCTAATGTCGTGGGAACAGAAAGCAAACATTTTGCTAGTGCATCATAGTGAGTGGTTCCACTTTCACATCCACCCCTTGAATCCTGGATCTGTGAATCCTGGCTATGGGAGAAACAATACCATACATTGGGCGCTGATTCAGAGCACACATGGTCTTCTGGAGTATGGTGCCCCGGCCCGGCAAAGTATTGTAACCTAGTTGACGTTGTAATCACGACCTCAAAAGGCCGTCCCACCATTCTATCAATCCAGCTGCTTCAGGAAGATGGGGAATATGGTAAGACCAGTGAACTCCGTGAGCATGAGCCCACTGCCTCACTTCTTTACCTGTAAAGTGAGTGCTTGGTCAGAGGTAATGCTGTGTGGAATACCGTGATAGTGGATAAGGCATTCCTTGAGTCCATAAATGGTAGTCTTGGCAGAAGCATTGCATGCAGGTAGGCAAACCCATATCCTGAGTAAGTGCCTGTTCCAATGAGGACAAACCTCTCTCCTTTCCATGGTGGAAGAGTTCCAATATAATCAACCTGCTACCGGGTAGCTGGTCGATCACCCCGGGAAATGATGCCATACAAAGAGTTCACTGTTAGTCTCTGCTGCTGCTGGCAAATTGGGCACTCAGCAGTGGCCACAGACAGTTCAGCCTTGGTGAGTGGAAGTCCACATTGCTGAATCCATGCATAGCCTCCATCCCTGCCACCATGGCCACTATGTTCATGGGCTCATTGGACAATGACAGGGGTGTCTGAGGAAAGAGGCTGAGTGGTATCCACAGAACGGGTCATCGTATCCACTTGATTATCAAAATCCTCCTCTGCTGAAGTCACTTGTTGGTCAACACTCACACAGGGTACAAATATCTTCAGTTTTTGACCACTCAGAGAGGTCCATCTACATACTCTTTCTCCAAGTTTCTTTGTCACCAATTTTCCAATCATGCTTCTTTCAAGTCCCTGACCATCCAGACAAACCATTGGCTACAGCCCATGAATCAGTATATAACCGCACATCTGGAAATTTCTCCTTCCATGCAAAGTGCACAATCAGGTGCACTGCTCAATGTTCTGCCCACTGGGAAGATTGTCCTTCACCACTGTCCTTCAGGGATGTCCTAGAAAGGGGCTGCAGTGCTTCAGCTGTCCACTTTTGGGCGGTACCTGCCTATTGTGGAGAACCATCTGTGAACAAGGCCCTAGTCCTCCCTTCCTGTGTCAACTGCTCATAGGCAAGTCCCCATGAGGTCATCAGTGCAGACCGTGGGAGAGAAGGCAGGGTGGCAGGAGTAGAGACCGTGGGCATTTGAGCCACTTCCTCATGTAACTTACTTGTGCCCCCCAGGACCTGCTTGAGCCCAATCACTTATACACCATTTCCATTTGATGATGGAATGCTGCTGTGCATGACCCACTTTATGGCTACATGAGTCAGAAAGCACCCAGTTCACGATAGACAGTTCAGGTCGCATGGTGACTTGTTGACTCATAGTCAAATGTTCAGTTTCCACAAAAGCCCAGTATAGGACAAGAGCTGTCTCACAAAAGGAGAGTAGTTAACTGGAGAAGATGACCAGGCCTTGCTGCAAAATACTAGAGGCCTCCACCATGATTCACCTATGGAGGCCTGCCAAAGCCTCAAAGCAGCATTCCTATCTGCCATGGACACCTCAGGGGGACCCAGCCTCCCCTTCATTCAAGGGGTTCTGGGTCTGTAAACTGGCTCAAGGCTGGAAATTGATTGAGGGGCCATGAATCTCTGTTTTTATGATCCAGTTAGTCTTTTATCTGTTTGACTTAAGTTTCCTCCTTACATAAATTAAGTAGAATGCATTAGTCTTCCTGTCAGTTTCACTTCCAGGAACACTGTGATTAGTTAGCCAATGCAGAGCTCTACATGAGTAAACTGTTCAGATTGCTGCTTGTCT
>NC_000009.12:43274935-43276248 GCF_000001405.40 Homo sapiens
TTGGCAGACATGGTTGAGAATTTGGGGGTCAGGAGAGTATCCTGAATGATCTGGGTGAGACCATCATAATCACAAGGGTCCTTATAATAGGGAAGGAGGAAGGTAACAGCCAGAGAGGACCTGGGACAACGGACAGGGAAACTGGAGTGATGGAGGAAGGGGCCATGCTGCTAGGAATGTGGGAACATCAGAAAGATGGAATGCTCGATATTGGATTCTCTCTCTTGAAGCCTAGAATGAATAGAGCCCTATTACTCCTTGACTTTACTTCATTGAGACTTCTGACCTCCAGAAATGTAAGATAATACACTTGTGTTATGTGGAGCAGTAAGGTTGTGGTAATTTGTTACAGCAGCAACAGGAAACCAATGCAAGGGGAAGGGGTGTGTTTTACTTCCCTAGTGTATCACTGTCCTCTGTTCTCCCAAATAGTTCTGTGTTTTTGTGTTTGCTGTCAATTTCAACAAGAGACAGAAAACATTTTTCTATGAGGAGAGCTAGCACCACAATTCTTCTTATGTAGAAAGTGTCTTGAGTAATTCTCTGGGTTAGGTCTTATACAATCTTGGTATCTGAGAGCCTGGAGGTCATCCCTCACAGCACATGAGAAGAGGAAAGGGATGCGGGTTTGCTGTTTTAACATTTGTAGGGCAAATTAGAGGTACAAGACCCATTCTTTTTATTATTATTATTGTTCTTTAAGTTCTAGGGTACATGTGCACAACGTGCAGGTTTGTTACATATGTATACATGTGACATGTTGGTGTGCTGCACCCATTAACTCATCGTTTACATTAGGTGTACCTCTTAATGCTATCCCTCCCCCCTCCCCCCACCCCACGACAGGCCCTGGTGTGTGATGTTCCCCTTCCTGTATCCATGTGTTCTCATTGTTCAATTCCCACCTGTGAGTGAGAACATGCAGTGATTGGTTTCTTTGTCCTTGCGATAGTTTGCTGAGAATGATGGTTTCCAGCTTCATCCATGTCCCTACAAAGGACATGAACTCATCCTTTTTTATGGCTGCAAGCGAGGACTGAGTCAGAGAGATGGGGATGGCAGAGGAGACAAAATGTGGTCAGGGCCGTGTAAGATGTGACCCTGCTGCCATATCTGAAAGAAAGGCTGTTGGTGTTTGTAAAGGCTTTGGGCAAATTGTGCTTTGTAGACAAAACTGTAGAAGGGTCTGGGTTTAAGCTTAGTGTCAGCGTGATGAGGACTAGAGGTCGCAGTGAGCTTGTGTTAAGAAATCCACCCTTCACTTCTGGCTTTGTCTCTTTCCTGGTTTATAGGTGGTGGGTTCCTCTATGGAA
>NC_000009.12:43276457-43281323 GCF_000001405.40 Homo sapiens
CCTTTTATGCATTCTTGAGTAACTCAGAATGTTACGTGAGCTATTAACAGTCATATGTCATTTTCAACTAAAATTATCAATATTTATCTTATAACTAACAGATGCTTCTCTGTACACTGTAGGTTTCATGTACATTTCTTCAATCACAAAATTTTTCACCAATCTATTTACGTCTAGTATCAGAAAGTTAAGCAAGGAGATTGCAAACCAACACAACACCTTTAGTCTGGATTTTCCTGGAGCCCCATTTGTGTTAGTGTCCTCGGGCTACTGTAACAAGTTCTCAAAAATGTGGTAGCTTCAAACAACAGAAATGGAATCTCTCATAGTTCAGAAGTCCAGATCAGTTTCACTGGGCTAAGATCTTGGATTCATCAGTTCTGGCTCCTTCTGAAGCTCTAGGGAGCAGTCTGATTTAGCTCTTCCAGCTTCTGGTGGCTTCTCTCTCCCGGGATGTGGACACATCACTGCAATCTCTGTCTCCGTGTTCACACTGCCTTCTCCACTTCAGTCTATGCTAAATGTCTCTCTACCTCTTGTTTTTTTTAGGACACTTGAGTTTGCATTTAAGTCCCAGTTGATTAATCTAAGACCATCTCCCTGTTTCAAGCTCCTTAATTTACACCTGCAAAAGCTGTTTTCCCAAATAAGATACATGCATAGTCTTCTTGGAATGAAACCTCACTATTTGGGGATGATACTCAGTACTACACCATTACATAACCAGGTCTCAGTGTTAGTCCTGTACATACATCACAATCTCTCTCTCTCTCTCTCTGTCCACACACCCTGGCTTCCTCCTTTTCTCAATGTCATAAATCTCTTCAATTCCTTAAGTGTATCCAGTGATACCTATAAACAAATAAGTATCTGAGAAAATTCTCAATCAGTTTAGAAATTTATTTGGTCAAAGTTAAAGAAATATCAGTGAAACAGCCTCAGGAGGTCTTGAGAACGTGTGTCAAACGTCGTCGGGCTACAGGTTGGTTTTACACGTTTTAGGGAGACATAAGATATCAATCAATACGTGTAAGCTGTACATTGCTTTGATATGGAAAGGCAGGACAGCCCGAACGAGGGGGGATGTTGGGGACTTCCAGGTCATAGGTGGATTCAAAGATTTCATAGGTGGTTGAAAGAGTTTATCTAATGACCTGTAATCAACACAAGGGAGTTTCTGGGTTTAGAAAAAGGATTTTGGAGCCAAGGTTGCATCATGCAGATGAAGCCTCCAGGTAGCAGGCTTCAGAGAGAATAGATTGTAATTGTTTCTTAGTAGACTTAAAAGGTGCCAAACTCTTAGTTAAATCTCTCTGGGTCAGGAAAGAGACTTAAAAAGGAATCTCTACAGAATGTAGATTTTCCCCACAAGAACCAGCTTTGCAGAGGCATTTTTAAATACATTAAATAACGATATCTTGGGGAAAATACTTTGATTTCTCTTAGGACGTGGTATCTGTCACATTGGTATCTTATTGCTATAAAGAGTTTTCTTTGTCAGTCTCAAGGGTCTCTGTCTTCATATTAAAAGCTGGTCAGTTGTGCCTGAATTTTAAAGGGAAGAGGGTAAGTTAAGGCATATCCAATCATCCGTTCTGATCATGGACTGCATTGTATTTCAGGTTGATTTTGGTGTGTCCTTGGCTGAGAGGAGGAGTTCATTCAGTTGGTTAGGGAGCTTAGAGTTTCATTTTTGGTTTACACACCTATGTCCAGGTAAGAGGGCCCCACACAGGAGGGCTTGCTCAGAACCTGGCTTGCAGGGCTGCTTACAGACCTTCTATGTCTCCTGTTGTCATGCACAAGGAAGGACACAGCCAATGACAACCCTCAGCCATCCGGGGAGAAGCTGTGTCTGCAGAGGACGGTCATGAGCTGTGAGTCTAGAGACCTGTGATTGTCTTCAGGGGCCTGTGGTCCTCGGCTTTCATAGGAGTTGTGGGGGCACTGGCTCAAATAGCATCCACCAGGATTCCAATCAGAATATCTCATTCACAGAAGGCAGTCGGTGATATGACAGCACAGAGGGACTCTGTGGGTCCAGCTGCATGGAGCACTCTGGGAGAGTCACTGGCGCCCGTGCTAGACAGAGCTTCATTCAACTTCTGGAGCACACGGATTTAGATCTCTTTACATCATTTTGAAAGACCATTTATCATTCTGAAGGAAACCACTGTAATTAACTAAGGTAACATCTTTAATAGGTAGAAAGAAAAAAGTTATTATTTTATTGCCAAGATGATTACAAGAAAAGAAACAAACAAAAATAGCATGAAGGAAAGAGCAATACTGGACTGAGGGCTTTGGATAAGAGGTTGAGACTTAGTAGTGAATGCCCTGGGCCATCTTCTGTCAAAAGGGAAGGACAATCAGCAAACAGAAATATGCAGTAGAGGTAAAATCTTGGTTAGTAAAAGAATCCTAAGAGAAAACAAGAAGTCTCCTTCCTGAGCATCATGTTGGTGTCGGGAAGATGCACATAATCCCCCCATTGCATGTCTTACACTTTTCAGCAATTAGGGCTCAGCATGAATTTAGAAGACACCATTCACTTCACAGCAGATGGGGACACAGTCAAGGCAGTGGTGAGAGGCAAGGCTGGGCTTTCAGTCTCAGAGCACAGAGCAGGTTCCCCACTACTCTGCACCCTGGTGTCTCCTCCCAGATGTTCCAGATGTTCCACCTCATTCTTGCCTTAAGGGCTCCAAGTTGTTAATGGGACAGTAGCCCTCTTCCTTTCCCAGGGTTTCTAAGAATTTGGCTCTCTTTTGTGTACTGCGGGGTTTGTTTGCCATCTAGAGGCAGGTTTTTGGCATAGCAACTTATAGGCTTTTTCTACTTGTGATAGCGAAAATAAATACATAAATAAATTCATCATAAATAATAAATTGACTTAATGCATTCAATCTGTAAAAAAAAAAATAAGGTCAGTTTGAGAGCTTAAAAGGAGCCTGATGAGGTTAAAAAAGACAAATTACCTTTCGTAAAGAGCAGTTGGAGCAATAGATGATTCTTTAATCAATGACATTTTAGGAGTAACTATCAAATGGTAAATAAAACGAAATAAGATGATGAACTATAATTTTATATGCAAAAAAAATTTCCAAGAACCATACAAATACATTTTCAGATTAAAACAAAAAATGTGGGTTTATCATCATATCCGCTAAATGGAAGATTTCTCAAATGTGTGCTTGGAGCAAAAATAACACTTATCCCTATTTGAAAGTTCAAGATTTTTGAGCTTTCGAAGAAAACAGCTTTCCCTTCACTCTGTTCCACTCACACTTCTGAGGATGGCCATGGGGCAAAAAGCCACGGCGGCGGGGTGCAAAAAGCCACGGCGGCGTGGGGGGCAAAAAGCCGCGGCGGCTGGGGCGCAAAAAGCCGCTGCGGGCAAATAACCGCGGCACGGGGCGGGGGCGGGGGGCGCAAAAAGCCGCATCGGCGGGGCGCAAAAAGCCGCGGTAGCGGGGGAACAAAAAGCCGCGGCAGCGGGGGAGCAAAAAGCCACGGCCGGCAAAAAGCCGCGGCGGCGGGCGGCAAAAAGCCGCGACGTCGGGGGACAAAAAGCCGCGGCGGGCATAAACCCGAGGCGGCGGGGGGGGGGGGGCAAAAAACCGCGGTGGGGAAAAAGCCGCGGCGGCGGGGGGCAAAAAGCCGGGTCGGGCAAAAAGCCGCGGAGGCAAAAAGCCGCGGCGGGCAGAAAGGCGTGGCGGCGGGGGGCAAAAAGCCGCGGCGGCGGGGGGCAAAAAGCCGCAGCGGGCAGAAAGGCATGGCGGCGGGGGGCAAAAAGCCGCGGCGGGCAGAAAGCCGCGGCGGGAGCGCAAAAAGCCGCGGCGGGAAAAAGCTACGGCGGCAGGGGTGCAAAAAGCCACGGCGGCGGGAGGGGGGGGCAAAAAGCCGGGTCGGGCAAAAAGCCGGGTCGGGCAAAAAGCCGCGGCGGCAGGGAACTAAAAGCCGTGGCAGGCATAAACCCAAGGCGGCGGGGGGGCAAAAAACCGCGGTGGGGAAAAAGCCGCGGCGGTGGGGGTGCAAAAAGCCGAGGCGCGCAAAAAGCCGCGGTGTTGGGGTGGGGGGGGGGTGGCAAAAAGCCGCGGCGGCGGAGAGCAAAAAGCTGCGGCGATGAGGGTCAAAAAGCCTCGGCGGCGGGGGGCAAAAAAGCCGCGGCGACACGGGGCAAAATAGTGGAGATGGGGTAGAAGGCCAGCACAGGTTGGCTTTGCTGGAGTGTGATGTGATAGGAAATGTGCAGCCAAAGACAAAAAAAGATGTAAGTAGGCTTGACTCATTGCAGCCAAGAACCCAGATGTTATCTTGAGGGTTTTAACTAATAAGCAGTTTAAATCAGAATGGCACATTCTGATTTGTTTTTTGTATATTCACATTTGGCAGGCATAGATACCGTTTGAAGAGAAAAAAGTCAGTAGATAGAGGTAACAAACTTAAATATGTGCCGAGTCTAGAAACAAGAGACTAGGGGGATAAGGACCTTTCGAAATAAAATGCAAGATTTGAAAACTGATTGGCTGGGGGATGAGGAAAAGGCAGGTCTTTAAGATCAATCCCTGTTTTGCTTTAAGTTGTTAGGGGGTGGTTTTATCACATATTGTAGAATACGTCATTTCAGTTTTGAACATCTTGAGTTAAATCGTCCTAACATATCTTATGAATTTGATTTTCTTCCCTGGGAAGCTAATATTTCAAACACTTAAAGAGTATATAGATTTCCAACTTGTATCCAATTTATAAAACTATCTCTAGGGCTGCTGATTTCAGGAGGAGGCTCATGAATATTCTATTTGCAGAGAATATATCAGGAGTTAATATCAGCGTCAATATTTGTGGACGACCAGTAACTAAGCC
>NC_000009.12:43282956-43332174 GCF_000001405.40 Homo sapiens
CTCTTCTCTGACAAAACAAGTACAAGAATTCATTGTGAATCTGCATTCTCCTTGCCTGTTTTAAGGTTTTGATGTTGACACTAATTTGTGAAATCCCTCCTGTGGTGTGATATTTCGTTTTCCTTGCTTTTTGTTAGGACATGAATGCTTCAGCTCTTAATTTAAAATTATGTTTCTCCCTCCTAGGTTGAGTGAACTTAGAATGCATGCTCTGACATATCCAAGTTTTTGTTAATATGAATTTGGGGAAAAAAACATACTTAATTAGCTAAGACTTCTTATTCTAGGCTTGACCCTGTGTTCGACATCTATTGAATTTGTAGTTGCATGGGCTGCTCTCTGACACTGGTTACTGACCTGGAAGCTATATTAACGTTAGGGGAGGTGGTGTATGAGCATTAGAGGTATCCTTGCAAGGAAAGACTTGTCTTATCTCAATACGTCTTTTTTTTTGCACACAAGAAAGTCAGTGTTTTAGTCTTCTAAAATCTTCCTATTTCCAAGTTGCAGAGTACCATTGATTCCTAAACAAAGACCTAATTTTTGACTCAGAGACGTGGCAAGGTAGTGAATCACCATTATAATTTAACAATCTTCAAGATAAAATTATCTCTCTGATATTTAGCTTTTGCCCAATTATTAAGATATTTGGGTGTTTCGTTAAGAATGGAAGACTCTAGTCTCTTGAGCAGAGACTATAAAGGCCTCAGATGATCATTTTTACTTTTATGCTCTTTTCTTTAACACCTTCAACACAGTTGGAAGCAGCCGATATTCCCCAGAGTTGTTGTGTTTTTTAAACCAAATGCATGGTTCAGTGGTAGAAAACTGGGCTGATCCAAGCTGTTTTCAGTGAACACTTCATTTCAGGTGACCTATTTCATATTAAATAATCTCTAGATCCTGTCTTCGAAACTAACTAGATCAGATAACCTACCCTGGATTTTCTCCTTTTAGGGTCTGTGAGCTGCAGTCACTTTTGTGAAAATGATTGCAATGACGAGATAGAGTTGTAGATGGGGAAAATGTTTTGACTAATTTAAGCATAGTGGTATTTCATATGAGAATTTAAGTTACACACATTTGAAAATTATAATGGAGTCTCTTAGCTGAGCTTTAAAAAAAATAGTGTTTAGGCTAAACAGGGAACTGCTACCTCTCCTAAAATCAGAAAGATGTTACAGTAATTCTCCATTCTCTAGAATTATCAGGAAGCACCTTTGTGATGATTTACTTTTGTTCTTGGGAGTGTGAGCCCGTGTAGTCTTGGAACCATCAATTAGAATGATGGCTTTCTGATCCCAAAGTCATTCGTTCTGAAAACAATATTTTTCATAAATTTGAAAGTGAGAAGTTTTGATCTTGCCATTCCCAAGTAACTCTCTTAATAAGAGGCATCAGCATGCTTCAGTGACAGCTGTCACTTTCCAGTGCTGAGAGTCATCTTTGAGTTCTCCATTTCACTCCCTACACTCCAATTTAGCTGCAGTTCTCTTGGCCAGTCCTATGAAATACATCCATGGCCTAACGACTTCTCACCACTACTACCACTCATCGTGACAGCATTCTCACCTAAGTCACTACCTTTTTTCTCTGGATTAGAGTAGCCTCCCAATTTATTTGCTCACATAACCTATTTATTCTACACGGTGCACCAGATACACCCCTTTGAAATGCAAACACAATCATGTTATTCTCTGGTTAAATTATCTCATATATTCCTATCGCATTTAAAATTAATTCAGAATAATCCCCTGATTATCAAAAGCCTACATGCTCTTCCACAATATGGTTTACTTCCAAGATATCTCTTCAACTTTTTTTTCATTGTACTGAATTGGTGACTAATAATCATATTTTTATTTTTGCTCAAAAATCTTGACTTGTAAATTTTTCAGTTTCTCCTTTATCCACAGGTAACTCTTTCCTCATAAGGCGAATTGCTTGCTTCCTCGAGTCCTGCTCTCAAAGATAACCTTCATTTTCTACCTAATATTAATAACTTTAATCATTCATTATTCCATTACTATGCTCTATAGTGTATACAATTTCTGTTCTTTGTCATGTTATTAACTAAATTATTTATTTGTTCCAGTAACGTATTCCATAAATATTGTACACATAAAAATTATGTTATCTTTATTGCTGCATGCTCAGCTGCCCAATAACAGTCTGAGGATTAACATATTTGTTAAATGCACAAATACGTTCTTTCACAAATATTAGTTTAATAATTTTATATTAAACTCCCTCTATACTTACAATATGAATTAGATAATTGAGAATAAACATTCCAGTGGAAAAAACTAAACAATTTGTTGTAAAACATCCTTAAAAGCATCAGAAAGTTAATACAGCAATGAAGAATTACAGGACCAAATTAAGAATGGTATGGAAGCCTGTTTGTGAGGCTTATGTTTGGGTTATCTCTTTACTTAGAGAGACTATAAATCTCAAAAGAGGATTAAAGGGAGAAATAACCATATCAACTCACATGGTAAGAGTATTCAAACATCTCTTAGTAATGGAGAAAATTGAAAGAAAAGAAAAAAGAGAAAGGGAGAAAGAGAGACAGAGCGAAAGGGATAATGAAGGAGAGAAAGAAGAAGAGAAAGGAAGAGGAAGAAAAGTAAAAAGGAGGAGGAGGGAGAGGGAGGAAGAAAGAAAGGTGAAAAGAAAGAATGCTAAAGTTTTCAACAACATAATTTATCCTTCTAGAATATGAATGTTGGTCTATTTGATGATGTCCCACAGATTCCTTAGTCTCTGCTCATTTTTTATCTGTTTCTCGGAGTCAATAGTTTCCATTTTCTTATCTTCAAGCTCATGACTTCTTCTGTGTGTGCAAATATACTCTTAAATCCCTCTGGTGATTTTTAAATTTTTATCATTGTAGTTTTCCACTCCAGAATTTCTGCTATCTCTGTTGATATTCCTACTTTTTAATATTTTTTCTGAATCCTTTATTTCTTTGTTTATGTTTTCCTTGTGACATTTGAGTATAATTAAGAGAGTTGTTTTAAAGTCTTTGTCTAGTAAGTTTGAAGTCTGGGTTTCCTTAGAGATATTTTCTGTCAGTTTGTTTTGTTCCTTTGAATGAGCCATAATTTTCCGTTCTTTGTATGCCTTGTAAATTTTTTTGAAACTGGGCATTATAATAATTATAATTACTATGTGGTTACTCTGTAAATCAGACCCTCCCCCACAAACACAGTAATGTTTTGGGGTTTTAAATTTTCTTTACTTATAATATTGTTAAGGATTTTTTTTTTAGTGAAATTTTCCAAAGTGATTTACAAAACTGTTTGCTTTATAAGGTGTGGTCACCGAAGTCTTTTTGTTTCCTTAACAAATGTTAAGCTAATGTTTTGACAGTGATTTTCTTGTATGTCAGGAAGTAAGCAAACAGGCAAATACAACAAAAACAAAAAGAAAAAAAGTAATCATTGTCCAGCAAAATATGTCTCTAGGCCATGCAGACTGGCTTTGTGCTGGGTTCTTTAAAGCCGGGACAAAGTGTGTGTTCACTCTTGCGCTGAGTGAAGTTCAAGTTCACCCTTGCACATAGCTTGCACTGAGGGGAGGGATCGGCCAAGGTAAAAGCGTAGGGTCTTCTTATGACATTTGTCAGCATGTGGCTTAACCTATGCATACAAGTGACTTTCTAGACTCTCCCATGTACGTGAATGATTTTGAATGTCTTAGTTTTCCAAATACTCTTCTCCAACTTTTCTTCCTGTGCTGAAGGTGATCTACTATATGTGTAAACTCTAATTTTTGCCCTAAGCATCTGTGGTTTGTTAGGTCTCCTTGCAGAGTTTCTTGATAATGTCCATTCCTTATCTGTTCTGTATTCTAGCAACACAGAAAAACAAAAGCCTTTCATGAGTCCTTTAGGTATCCCCCAGACCAGTCAGAACAGACACATAGTAATTGGCGGGTAAGATCTTCTCTTGTTCCTTTGGACCATGGACCAGTGTTCCTCACTGGGAACGTGGGCTTCTGACACTTCAAAACTGCCAATTTGCTGGGGCAAAGGCAAGTTAAAAATGTCATAAAGTTTTCAAGTTGCCTTTTTCTTGAGTCTGCTTTCACTCAGTTGTTGTAATCTTTTGACTATTTTCCAGAGTTTTGGCAAAGTTTATTCGGACAGTTTCTCTTAGTTGTGTGATGTTTCTGTGGGGAAATGAAAGATTGCAGCTGTCTCCACTGACATTTTGCTGATGCTCCTCTTTTGTCAATTTTTGCTTCATGTTATTATGCTTTGTTATTAGTTCATGTATTAGTTTTCTAGGGCTGCCATAACCAAGTAACACAAACTGGGTGCCATGAACAACATACATTTATAGTCTTATAGTCCTGGAAGCTAAAATTCTGAGATTGAGGAGTCAGGAGGGATGGTCCCTTCAAGGGCTATGAGAGAAAGCCTGTTCTATGCCTTGTTTCTCACTTCTGATGGTTTAGTGGCAGTCTTTGGCATTCCTTGGCTAATCTCTGCCCTCATAATCACATGGTACTCTCCCTGTGTGTATGTCTCCCTCTACTCAAATTTCTTCTTTTAATAAGGACATCAGTCATACTGAATTCAGGCGCATCTGATTGTATCTTAACTTGATCAGCTGCAAAGAACCTATTTCTTAATGAGGTCATATTCAGTGGTTAGAATTTCAACATCTATATAGAGGAAACAATTTAGCTTATATCTGTGCATACATGATTGTAATAGCTATGTCTTCCTAAAGCGTTGACCCCCTTTTTACTACAATATAAATTTTTAAAATCCTATTCACATTTTTAATAGTCTATATTGTGTGTTATGAGTATAATGAGTTCAGTGTTCTTATGATTGCTCTTTGCATGATATTTTTTGTCATCTTTTTACTTTCAATCCATTAGTATCCTTGCATCTCGGCGTATATTGGGATCACTTGTTTTAATCCAGTCTGACAATCTCTGCCTCTGGAATGGATTTTAATCTGCTCACATTTAAGATTATAATTGGTATAATTCTATTTATGTCTGCCATTTTACCGTTTGTTTTATATATTTCTCAAATATTTTTCTTTATTGCTTTATTTTGCAATGAAAGAATATTTTCTAAACTAGGGAACTTTAGATTACTAATGAATTATTTTATTATATATGTTTGAGAATTTCTGTTGTTGTTGTAAGTTTACCATATAGGTATATGGAAAATTAATTATTCAAATCATCTTCCAATTTATACTAGTAAACTTTTAGTAATACATAGAAACATCATTCTTATATAAATCTCTTTTATTTCCTCCATTTTAAAGTATTATCACTTTACACATTACATCTATTAAAGTTACAAAGCCAACAATACATTTTAGTAATTATTACTTTACCATCTAGAGTGATTACCTTATCACAATACATTTTTCTTCCAACTACCTCCTTTTTGATGTTACTGGAAAATATGTTATAGACGTATTACATTTCTACATGTCAAAAACTCAGCAATACATTATGCACATATTATTATTATTATCATTGAGACGGAGTCTCCCTCTGTCACCCAGGCTGGAGTGCAGTGGCACAATCTCCGCTCACTGCAAGCTCCATTTCCCAGCTTCATGCCATTTTTCTGCTTCAGCCTCCCGAGTAACTGGGACTAAAGGCGCCCGCCATCACGCCCGGCTCATTTTTTGTATTTTAAGTGGAAACGGGGTTTCACTGTGTTAGCCAGGATGGTCTCGATCTCCTGGCCTCGTAATATGCCCGCCTTGGCCTCCCAAAGTGCTCAGATGACAGGTGTGAGCCATCGTGCCCGGCCATTATACACATGTTATTTAATAAACAATTTATGATAAAGAGAAAAAATGCATTTTTACTGTCTTTTATAATGTCAGTATTACCTATACCAGTGCTTTTTTAAAAATGTGGATTCAAGTGACTGTCTTCTGTAACTTGCTTTTAGCCTTAGGAATTTATTTTAGAGTTTTTTTTAATGTGGTAGGCCTGCCAGCAACAACTTCAGTTAATATTTCTGTTTATCTGGGTAAGTCTTTGTGTTATCTTCGTTTTTGAAAAATAATTGCTGGATAAGGAATTCGTGGCTGAGAGTTTTTTTTCCTTTGCATCTTTTGAATATATTATTCTACTGCCTCTTGCCTTCCATTGTTTATCTTAAGTCAGCTGTTAATCTTACAAAACATAGGTGCTCAAAAAATAAACGTGCATGAATATTTACAGCAGTAATATTCATACAGTCAAAAAGTGGAAACAATCCATATGCTTGTTGACTCATAAACGGACACCCAATTTTCAGCTATAACAAAGAATGAAGTACTTATATATGTTATAATATGGGTGAAATTTGAAAGCATTATGTTAAGTGCACAAAAGTACAAATATTACTTGATTTTATTCACATGAAACATCAGGAATTGGCAAATCAATTGGGATATAAATTAGATTAGTGGTCATTACGGCTCAGGGAAGCAGAATAGGGTGTAACAACTTTATGCATAATGGGTTTTTGGAAGGGACATGATGAAATTGCCCTGGAACATTGTGAATATACTAAAAGCAAGTGCATTGTATGCTTTAAAATGGTTGTTATTAATTTTATATTATGTGATTTTTACCTTAAAAAAAGAGAAAATAGCCTTACTCTATACATAATAAACTCAAGATATGTTACAAATTTACATGTGAAATTCCAAAATACTATAATATTTAAGGAATAGCTAAGTAGAATAACACTGAAATTTAACATAATGAAACATTTCCTTAAAAAAGAAAAAAGCACAGTAATTAAAAAGGGAAATATATTTAATATTTTTTCTCTCCATTAAGCATGCCATTAACTGAGTAAAAAATCAAGCTGCAATTATCTAAACTACATTTTCTAAAACCATAAAGAAAAGAAGAAATAAAAAGGTATTTGGGAAAAAAATCCAAAGGTACAGTCAACTACACAAAAAAAGCTTAGTCTCATTTATCATTATGAAAATGCAAATGGCAACTGAAAGAAGATAAAACTACAATTCAAAGAGAAAGCCTAAAATTTCAACCCCCCAAAAAGTCTGGGTTTTGGAGATCTGGGATGGAATAGGGTTCCTAACCTGACAACAATGAAAGAACCAAACTAACTGACTTCAAAGTCATGACTCTATTTTTATAGCAATGAGGTTGCCAAGAACTGAGTCAAAATGTGAGGGAAAACAAGCACCTGCAAGGAGAAAGAGGACAGATGCACTTACATAGGACAGATGCAAATAGACACCACGATGACAAGTAAAGCTGGAATAATCAATAAATTCCTAAAGACAAAGTGGGGCTGGTGAGATTGGGAGACCGCTGACAGCTGCAGAAGTTGGGAAAGATCCATCATCTTGAAAACGTTTTCCTCACAAACCCACTGTGATCTCTCAGGCAATTGGTAAGGAATCCAAGAGAGTCTGTATATGACACAGATCAGGGAGAGCAGAACACTTGGGAGGTGACCAGGTCTTGGGGGCCGAGCCCATATGAATGGGATTAGTGCCTTTATAAAAGAAGCTCAATGGAGTTCTTGTGTGCCTTCCACTGTCTGAGGACATAGAAAGAAGGCACCATCTATGAACCATGAAATGGGCTCTCATCAACACTGAATTTGTGAGCATCTTGACCTGAGATCTTACAGCCTCAAGAAGTGTGAAAAAAGAAATATCTGTTGTTTTTTAGTCACCCAGTTTATGTTATTTTGTTATAAGAGTCCAAATAGACCAAGATATTCCACTTAATATGTAGGGGAAGGCAACAAAAACTGCCACACTTAGAATACTCCTGATGCTGGGAGTATGAAAACAGGAAAAACAAAACAAAACTGCTCTTGAAGGTGAAGGAGGAATATCACTGAGCTCACCAACACAGCCAGGAAAAGAACAGAAGTGTGAGAAGGCTACATTCCTGAGACCCTGAGAAAAAGTACCTGCATAAGACTGAGTGAAATTACCTACTCTAGTTATGATTGAAATCCCAAAAAGAAAAGAGGAAAAAATAATGGAGCAAAAGAAATATATTTCAAAATAACTGCCAAAAATATTCTAAAAGAAGTGACAGAAAATCAAACTTCAGATATAGGAAACTCAGAGAATGTCAAATAGAACAAAAAGAAATAAGAATTCCATCTTGAAAAATCTTTAAAAAATCAAGTCTAAATTTTATATCTTGCTCCAAATATATAGAGATAGAAATAGGTTATCATCAAGATATGGAGAAAGCCATATCATGGAAACACTGAAATAAAGCTGTGGAAGGACTACATTGATATTAGACACAACAGAGTTCAGAACAAGAAATAGTATCAGAGATGAGAGATAATAGATAATAGAATAATCAATTCTCAAGAAGATGTAAACATCCTACTAATTAGGGTATGCAGCTAACAACAGAGCCTCCAAATACATGAGGTAAAACAGGAAAGAAATCAAAGGTGAACTAGAAAAACCCAAAATTATATTTGCAGACTTCAACACTTTTGTCTTAGTAATGGACAGACTAGGCACAAACTCAGTAATCATGTGGAAGATAAGAACAACAATATCACCAACAAGACATCCAATCTTCAATGGCAGATACTCTTTCCTTTCAAGTGAAAAAAAAAACAGTATGGCATATTCTCTAACAAACACAGAATTTCTAATATTTGCGGTCTTCCTTCCTTCTTTCCATCTTCCTTTGTCTTCTCTTCCCTTCCCTTGCCTTCTTCCTTCCTTTCTTCTTTTCCTCTTCCTTTTCTTTTTTCTTTTCCTTTCTTTCTTTTCTTTCTTTTTTTCTCCTTCCTTCCTTCTTTCCTTCTTTCTTTCCTCTTATTCTTCCTTCCCTCCTCCCTCCCTTCCTTTCTCCCTCCCTTTTCTTCCTTCTTTTCTCGTATTCTTTCTTTCTTTCTCACGTTCTTGTTTTCTTTCCTTTTTTCTCCCTTCCTCCCGCCCTCCTTTTCTTCCTTCCTCCCTCCCTTCCTTTCCTCTTTCTCCTTCCTTCCTTCCTTCCTTCACCTCTTTATTTTCTTTGTTTCTTTGCCTTCCTCCATTTTACCATTCTCTCTTCCTCCTTTTCTTCCTCACTTCTTCCTTTCTTTCTTTCTCTTTCTTTCTTCTTTCCTTCCTTCTTTCTTTCTTGTGTTCATGTTTTCTTTTTTCTCCCTTCCTGCCTTTCTCCCTTCCTGCCTTTCTCCCTTCCTTCCCTCATTTCCTCCTTCTTTTCTTTCTTCTTTCTTTCTTTATTTCCTTCCTTCCTTCTTTCCTTCCTTCTTTTTCTTTCTTTGTTTTCTTTTCTTTCTTTCTCTTTACTACAATTCATATTATTTTTAAAAAATTAAGAGAGGGAGACAGAAAAATAAAGAACGCTTTAATCTTCAGGTAAATAGATTATGTCTGCTGTAGGCAAAAGAATGGCCTCCCAAAAATTTTCATGTCCCAATTCCCAGAGTCTAACATACAAATATGTTAGATTTCACGGCAGTGTGAAATTGGATTTCAAGTGAAATTAAGGTTGCGGAAAAATGATAGAGAGATTGTCTTAAATGGCTGGGATCAATGAAATCACAAACATCCTTATAAGTGAAAGAAGAAGACAGAAGAAAGGCAACCTTGGAGGTGGTGGCATGAGAAATTACTCAACATCACTGACTTTTAAGATACAAGAATGAGGACCCAGCGCGGTGGCTCACGCCTAATCCCAGCACTTTGGGAGGTTGGGGTGGGTGGATCACGAGGTCAGGAGATCGAGACCATCCTGGGTAACATGGTGAAACCCCATCCCTACTAAAAATACAAAAAATTAACTGGGCATGGTGGCAAGTGCCTGTAGTCCAAGCTACTCAGGAAGCTGAGGCAGAAGAATCACTTGAACCCGGGAGGCAGAGGTTGCAGTGAGCTGAGATCATGCCACTGCACTCCAGCCTGGGTGACAGAAGGAGACTCCATCTCAAAAAAAAAAAAAAAGAAAAATAGGATATAAGAATGAGGTCATGTTCCAAGGAATAAAGGTGGCCTCTGGATGCTGAAAAAAATCAAGTAATAGATTCTGCCACATAGCCCTCAGAAAGACTGCAGCCCTGCCCAAAACTTGATGTTAGCCCTGTGAGTTTCATTCAAGTCTTCTGAACTACAGAACTGTAGGATTAACGGTCACTTTATTGTAAGATATGAAGTTTGTGGTAATTGGTTACAGCAGCAAGAGGAAGTTTATATTGTAATTGTATCATGAAAATGAGAACCATAATTTACAACTGCTTTTAATACTGCACTTGGATGTTTGAAATCACGTACGTGGAAATGATCTCTATGTGCATGAGGGAGGATAGCAAATTGATGCCAAAATAATGCAAATGCAAATCTTACACTCATTTCTATGTAGGTTTCATTTAATCTTTGAAATTAAAATGAAATGAAAAGATTGTGATATTTTGATGAAATTAGACTAAAATGAACAATAACAAAATAAGAACTCACTTATATTCTTTATATGGTCAATAAAGAAGTGATAGTGGAAAAAAACAAGATCAAATGAAGGTGATGATTTAGGAAGTTGGAAAGATACCTGAAACTACAAAATGGTATATAACCAGTGAACACTTAGACACACTGATTGATGAACTTCAGCTTTTGGCTTGGTGAGAGCATAAAATG
This sequence comes from Homo sapiens, assembly GCF_000001405.40. Classification (NCBI taxonomy): domain Eukaryota; kingdom Metazoa; phylum Chordata; class Mammalia; order Primates; family Hominidae; genus Homo; species Homo sapiens. Next base: position 43,293,597 of record NC_000009.12, read on the forward strand.
AGAGCAGCTGAGGTTTGCAAATTTGTAATCTCCTTGTGGAAAAACAGGGGAAAACACATCTCAGCCTAATAAAATTTATCTACTAAAGAGTCTAGACTTGATCCATTTGTCCTTGTAATTCAAAAGCTAATTCAAATACTGATTTGATCTATTGTGTGAACAACCATTGCTGATTATCATCGCACACCTGGCATTCCCTTTTATCTGATATCTAAAATATTTGGTAATTCCTGGACTTTCTCTTTTCAAACCCAGTACAGTTTAATTTGAGTCTTAGAACAGTTGTCTTTGAGAAATTCTTCCCTCTACTGCATCTGTGAATGGGCATAGCATGGTTACATACATACTGTCACTCCATAGAACATTTGTTAAATTAAAGCCAAAGTTTAAAGCAAGAGCTTTAACTTACTGGTTTTACTAATGTTTTCCTCCCCAATAGCCACAACAATATTGATACCCTCACACCTTTTAACATAAAGCTTGGTGTTGTCTATTTTTCAGGTGCTGTCATCTATATGATCTCAGTATTTTAAAAATCAGCTTCCAGCCCATATGGTGGCTTATGCTTGTAATACCAGCAGTTGAAGAGGCTGAAATGAGAGGATTCCTTGAGCCCAGGAGTTCAAAAGCAACCTGGGCAACATAGAAAGACCCAGTCTCTATCAAAAGTTAAAAAAAAAAATTTGGCATGGTGATGTGCACCTGTTGTCCTAGCTATTTGGGAGGCCAAGGTGGAAGGATTGCTTGAGCTTGGGAGGCTGAGGCTGCAGTGAGCAGTGATTGCACCACTGCAATCCAGCCTGGGCAACAAAGCAAGACCCTATCTCAAAAAATATATATAATAAAAATAAAAATCAGCTCTCATTTAGATTTCTATGTAAATATGCACAGGTGATGTCCATATAGACATAAATAATATTTCTGAAGATGGGACCATATGATCTTCAAAATGTAAAATGCCTATCTGTGTAATTGACTGGTTAGTCTCATTAATGAATATAGATTCAATTCTACTTTCTTGTTCTAGATAAATTATATAATCTAGCTTTTCATTTCACTTATTTACTGATAACAACGGAAGAATGACAAGATATCTATTTTGGAAAATTACTCTGGTAGGAATAAAGATGAAACAATGATAGAATTGCATGGAAAACTAGAAAAAATTATGGTCTTCTGATATTCTATCACATCACATACTAAAGGCCTCATAAAACTCAGATATTTTATCTAAAAATGTTATTTTCATCATAGGAATGATCAAAGCATGAGACTACAATTGTATGAAAATGTGCTTGTATCACAAGCACAGGTGCTAAAAAGGAGGGGAAAACATCATTACTGATATTTTCAATGTATGTTTTACTTTTCATCAACATGAACCTCAACTTGATATGATGCAGATTGAAGGAAATCACCCATAATTCCATATGAAGAAGGCCTGTGATATTTTATGGGAAAATAAATAGAGAAAATGCTAACAGAAACTCTATTAAGCATGAAGCTTTATGGAGCAAACACAAATCCAGTGGTGAAAGATACACACTCGAGTTCTGTTTGTTGTCTTGGAACAATACGGTTTAGAGGTGACTGGAGGGTGAGGAGAACATATGCGAGTTCACCAAAGAGAAAAGCTGAATGAGGCAATGCCTCTTCCTGACCATATCTCTTATCCAGATAACTATATAATTTATTGTCCAGTAAAGGGTATATTAAAAAATCATATTAAAAGTCATGCAGTGAAGTTGTCCAGGGAAATCAAGACTTAACAGTCTCACTCTGACAATAATGAACAGGGGGATTCCCTCAAGATAGACTAGGACATGACCCCACACTGGCAGGTAGTAGTACCAGAAAAGAACCCATGGAAAATCTTTACCTTATGCTTGAGGTAAGGACCAGGCTAAAGTGAAAGCCAGACATAAAATTCTATCTAAAATAAATCCACAATCGAAGAAAATATGTGGTGTACAGGCATAGAATGTCTTTACTGGATCATTGAAATAGTAAGATAAATTCAACTTTTACATTGTTTTCTTTTCCTCCAGTTAGGGCTTGAGGTTTGTCTCTGGAGAGTGACCGTCAATTGGAGCCCTGCCTTTCTGGGGTTCTGGTCAGGGGGTTGTGGATGCTTAACATGTGCCTTTCACAGGACAATTCCTTACTCCAGCAGTGGCCAGGTGTGCATCCCACGACCAGGCCTCCCTCTCACAGAACATCTGTTGAGACTAGGAGATGCCTGGTGACTGTTGCCTGACCTGTGTCCTGTGTATTTCTGACAAGAGCCACTCTCAGAGACCCTGGCCAGGAGGAGAGTTATGTTCCAGTGTAGGTCAGCTCAGACACATGGAGGCCACAGAACCAAACATGGGAAATCACAGAAGTAGGTTTATTACTCACAGATCCAGAGAGAGGAGGGTAGCTGAGAAGAGGGTTTAGCTGTGTCCCCAGCCAAATCTCATCTTGAATTCCCACATGTTGTGGGAGGGAGCAGGTGGGAGGTAATTGAATCATGGGGGCAGGTCTTTCCCATGCTGTTCTTCTGATAGTGAATAAGTCTCACAAGATCTGATGGTTTTATAAAGAGGAGTTTCCCTGCACAAGCTCTCTTGTCTTGTCTGCTGCCATGTGAGACGTGCCTTTCACCTTGTGCCATGATTGTGAGGCCTACCCAGCCATGTGGAACTGTGAGTGTATTAAACCTCTTTCTTCTAGAAATTACCCAGTCTTGGGCATGTCTTTACCAGTGGTGTGAAAATGGACTAATACAGTAGCACACCTCATAGGGTTGAACAAAATGGGGAAGATGAGTCGGGAGCAGGAGAGAGAAAAGGGGTCTGTGGGACTCTAGCTTTTATTGGGCCCAGAACATTACCCAAATAAGTTTTCCACAGGGCACTACTTGGTGGGGTGAGTGCCAGCAGGCACATTTCTTGACTCCCGCTGTAACCAAGCAGGTCACTCTGGCGTGTGGGGGCTGTCCATGTGCGCTGTGAGGTCTCTGGGGTGAGTCAAGTAGGTTGTATCCAACGGTTCCATAGCTGGTAGTCACCAGGAGGAGGCAACTGTGTAGGGTCAATATCTGGGCCAGCCACACTGAGGAACTGTGAGGGTTAGAACTGGAAATTGTCAAGGGAATCTGAACCCAGCTACCATATGAGAGAGTTCAACTTATGTTCAATGTGAATGCCATGGCAATATTAAAAGGTAAGAATTCGCTCCATACGTGCTTGAGGTAAATAGGAGAAACCTAGAATTTATGTAAACAGTGAGAAGATTGGATGCCTTTTCCGTCACATATTTTAATACTAGCAGCATATTATATATGTGAATCCATCAGGCATTCAGAAATACATGCTTATGAAAACTTTTTGCACCATCAGACAAAAGACAAGGGTAGAAGACATTTGTAACCCTATAAACACTAGTAAATTAAAAACAGAAAGACCGTTCTGTCCTAACATATCTGCGTTGTGAAAGGCTGCCCTGTGAAATACGGGATTTCTTAAACATATTTTAAAAATCATAGGTGTCAATATTTTTTAGAAATCCATTTAAATTTTCTCTTGCTATTTTACAATGCCTATTTATTTATTTAGTGGCTCTGCTGATTTTGAAGTATATCCTAAACTTTATATTTTCTTTAAAGGATGTTTTATACAACTTTATGTAAAATGTTTCAATATCTTCACATTCTCTCCCTGTCCTTTTGTTTTACTCTTATATGGTGGTCTTGAGTCTTTTCTCTGGCTTTCCAAACCTAGTAAGACTAAGACACTAAAGTAACTTTGCCCGTGGTTTGGTAATGCCTTCTAAAGCACATCCTAAGCTCTCGTGCATACAGGGGTCTCCTTTGAGCTCTGTGCTTTTGAGATCCCATATGCCTAAATTCCAGTACTCCAAATCAGTACTGCTCAGTTTTAGTTACTAAGTTTAAAAATGTATTTTAATAGCAAGTTAGTTTAGTGCACTCTTGCTTCTTTCTTGACTGCTTGTATACATGTATATTCCTTTAAATGAATCTTGGAATTTATTTAAAAATTTTAAATTATACTAATGAAACTGTATATTGTTGTGAATTCATAATTGAATTTGGAAAGAATTTGTCTTTATGATACTAAATCCTTTTTATCCAAGAATCATATGTGTCTTTATATTTATTCCAGTCTATATTTATATCACTGAGTAAATATATAGAAATGTAGATACATACAGCTGTAGTTATAGATACAAATATAGATATAAACTATTAAATCTATATCTATCCCATATAACATATATACATGTTATATGTGTGTGTGTGTGTATATATATATATATAAGTTTATGTTATTAAAGAGCTCCCTTAAAATTTTTCTTTTATTTCCTATATAATTTTAGGTCGAGCCTGAATTTTCCTTGTATAAACAAGCAAATATTTATACTAGTTTTAATACTGATGTTTAGACATTGTATCTTATTTTAGCATTGAATATTTTCACAATTATTATAAATATTATCTAATATTAATAATGTACCTGTTAAAAATATTTAAAATTTTACCTTTGAATTATTTTATTGTTGAATTAAAATTCCTTTAATATGATAGTAAATTTCTATTTTATGCTTTCTCTATGCATATGCAAATTAATCTATCCACTTCTCTATCTCTATGTAGTAACATATGAAAATCAGGCCTCTATTCTTCTAATGGACATACACATGTTTGCATATAGAATATCAGACTCTTTATAGCATTTAAAATCTTTAAAGACATGAATATTGCCTTTTCACTAATATATTTTAGCATGTACTGAGAATCCCCTATTTATTTTTAATTTGGGCTAATCAATATGATTGTTAATATTAGCGGATTACCAAATTTGGAAACACACTTTCATCCCCAAGGTGGATATATTTTTTTTTTTTTTTGCCAATTTCTTGTCTTACTCTTTCAAATATTGTTGGATATTATTTTTATTTTATTTGGCATTTTAGTATCAACATTTGTAATTGATGTACTCTACATATTTTTTCTTCAATATCTGGTGGGTTTTATAATTACTGCTATATTGGATTTGTAGTAGACATTGACAAAAATTATTCCTGTATGTTTTATAGCTGTATGAAGGAAACTAATATATTTTACCCCTAAATATATTTCCTTGATATATTTCAAAATGGCTATTGAGAAGGGCTGGAAATGCAAACTTAGCTGCGAAGGTGTCTTGGGGAGATTTGCATCGGTAGAGAATCTGCCTTGATGCAGCCAGGCTTTCTCTGAGGTCTGCCCCATTGTCTGGATCTAGGAAAGGTTAACTGAGAGTCTGAGGTCTCCAAAGGTCTGAAAGAAACATTTTCTGTCTATTCTCTCTGAGGACTGCTCCCAGTGAGGTTCCACCTATGTAACAAGCCCACTGTTGCTAGCCAGGGTCGTTTTCTCACATAACCTTTTTTTTTTTTCCCTGTGATCCAAGAACCCATTCTTTCTGTAAACTTCATGTGGTAGATAAGCTTCTGCACGCATCGTGTGTCTGGGTCTTCGTTCTAAGGTCTCCAGTGTACACACATTGCAGAAACCTGTATGCCTTTTCTACTATTTATCTGCCTCCTATTAGTGATTTTCAGGGAAACTTCAGAAGGCAAAAGGGACATTCTCCTTTAGCCCATTCTCAGACAAAATCCCCCAACATTTAACTGATTCCTAATAGCTTAAAATCACTTTGAAAAATCCATATATTTATAACCTTTTCTTCCCTCTATGATTTCTGGTCAGCTTGGGTTTTGTTTTTCATTCCATTTACTTCATCCTCGAAAAGATCTATTTTACATCTATTTATTCTCATTTATGGACATTGAGAAAAGAAAATAACTTTCATGTGAGAAATGCAAGTCCTTTTAAATAATCAGGCCCAGAGAGATATTCAAATGAGACAGCAGTTCTGTCCTGCTCCTCTTTGAGCTGTGTGTTCATCTAGGCTGCTTGCTGTTGCCACAGTAGCTATAAATTAACCAATAACGCCACACCAGACTCTATAATCCACACCCAATAATAGTGTAACAGTGTATAGCCAGTCACTAATAAATGTTATTTCCATAAGCCAATGAGAATTTGTGACAAACCTCTTTGCATCATCCCACTTCTGGACCCTTTTTTGCCTTTAAGAAACTGCTTGTTGCAAAGCTCCAAAGGGAGTTCATATCTAAGGATACTTGGGTCTGTTTCTTCCAGGCAGCTGTCCTCATTTTGGCTCAAGTAAACTCTTTGAATTATGTTTTGTGCTTCAGCACCTTCCACTTAGATTAACAACATGGATTTGTGTCACCATGTACGGCAATTAAAATGTTCACACTTTTCCCCTCGAGGGCACTGATGTGTTTTCCTGAGCACTTGGAATAGCTACGTAGTGTTTACTGTCTAGATTATGGTTTCTCAACCTTGGTGCTACTTGCCTTTAGGACCAGAGGATTCTTTGTTGTGGGAGGCTGCCCTAGCAATGCTAGGTGTTTCGTTTGACCTCTAAATTTCACACCTCCACCAGTCTTGACATCCCCACAATAACCCTAGACATTGACAAATGTCTCCTGGGGAAAACTCTCCACCAGTTGACAGGCAAAGTTCTGGAAATATTGGAATTGTCAATTGAGATTTTATGTTATCCAAAACAAATATTTTTCTTTGTTTTTAAACATCTAATTCCATCTACTTATCTACTTATTTTTACTTTTATTGGTAACTTAATTCCGTCAAGGAGAGAGAGTGCATTTTCTGTTATGCTAAATTTTTGAAGAATGTATTGACTTTTTATGACCTGATATATGGATGATACGTAGATATTACATGTTTGTATTATCAAATTTCAGGGCGATAATAAAATAAATACTTATAATATTTATATTGTCACTGTATATTAGTTATTTTCTTTCTTCACTACAGGAGTTTTTCAACCTATAGGCTATTTTTCAATTCTAGGTTATCCAGTAGATTTTGAAATGTTATGATTAAATATCTACTTCTCAAGCATTCATCTTTGCAAATAAAACAATCCCAAGCTCTCATAATGCACATCATATAAAGGGCAGATTAGTCAACATATGGTTCAGAAATAATTATGTAATATTTATAATAAAATTAAAAATGTAGATCCTTAACTCAGATAACAATAATCCAAATTAAAATTTGATTTCATTACATAATTTAAAATGACACCAGAATACTAGTAAAAATGTAGATAAGTTTATATAATCTTTTTTAGCTGTAGGACTTTATTAGCATAAATTCAAATACAGAAACCAAAGTAAGATTGAGACCTCTAGTCAAAGGTTAAAATGTACACATTATAGGGGCATGATTAAACTAATTTAAAGCATAATAACATGGAGAAATATTGCAAAACCTACATTTTACTGAATTAATTGTTTAATCATTATGTGAGAACCAAATTAAAGAGTAGCTACACACGCACACACCCACACACAAGTGCAATATTCTCAAATAAACGATGTTCAGCTACACTAGAAATCACACCTGTGTTTTCTCCACAGAAAAGATTAAAAATCACAATAATATTTATTGTACATATGGAGGTAAAGATACTCAAAATATTACCCTAAAATACATTTTTTTTTGAGATGGAGTTTTGCTTTTATTGCCCAGGCTAGAGTGCAATGGCACAATCTTGGCTCACTGCAACCTCAGCCTCCCAGGGTCAAGTAATTCTCCTAGCTCAGCCTCCCAAGTAGCTGAGATTACAGGCATGTGCCACCACAATCGGCTAATTTTTTGTATTTAGTAGAGACGGGGTTTCACCATGTTGGTCAGGCTGGTATCCAACTCCTGACTTCAGGTGATCTACCCACTTCAGCCTCCGAAAGTGCTGGGATTACAGGCGTGCGCCTGGGCAACTTTTTGACATATTTCAAGATGGCTACTCGGAAGACTGGAGATAGCATCTTCTACAAGACTAGCTGAAAAGCTGTGTTTGTTGGGGAGATTTGCATTTGTAGAGAAAATCTGCAGTGATATAGACAGGCTTTCCCTGAGATACTCCCTTGTCTGGGTTTAGGAAAGATTAACTGAGCCTGGCACGTTTAGATTTCTAAAAACCATTTCCTATCTATACTTCCCAAGAGGAGGGCTGCTCCCTTTGAGGTTTCATCCATGTAACAAGACCACCTCTGCTGCCAGGCTCCTCTTTCTTCCTTGCCGTCACCTGTCTTCCGCAAAGCCTGATTTACCAACCTACAGCTCTGTGTTTTCTGTAACCTCAAGACAGCATAGGCGTGTTGACTACCTTGCCTTTCCTGGAGTTTTTATATATATAGTATATATTTGTATATCTATTTATAATATACAAATGTTTGTATAGATATATTTATATATATTATGTAAACTCCAAGTGCATACTTGTGCACATATCTGTAAACCTTTTTTCCTGTTAATTTGTACATTATCAGTTTGTTTTATAGACTCAAATAATTAAAGCTTCAAGGGAAAAATTTAAACTTTCCTATAGAGAAAAGACAAATATATAGGTGACAAATAATATTTAGAGTGTAAGACGCTTTTTAAAGGTATATTTGCAATTTGTGTCAAAAAATTTAAATATACATTTGTTATTTTAACTATAAAATTTCAAATAACTTAAGCCAAATACATAGTATATGCAGAAAATTTAGCAATATGTCTATGTAGCACCTTACTGTGCATTACTGTAACCAGCCGTCTAATATAAAGAATTAATTAAGGTAGCACCTACTTTTCAAATAGCGCATTTTTTCACAGACCTATTAAATAAGGCAAATAACATTTAAACTTTATTTTTAAATTTGCAGAATAGTAGTTTTCAGCAGATGGTTTATTTTAGCAAATTCCATCTTCACATTGTGCTATGCTTTTATGAGTTCCAGCTGTTAACGGATAATTTTTTACTGCTGAAACTATCATGTGTGATATAATTGCTCATTATGTGCCTTAAAACACAAGCAATATAATTACTTACAACTTGGAGCAAATTAAAATCTTATCAGCAATTTAAAAACTCTAGAGTCGTCTTTTTCTGGTTAATTATTTTAAACTTGTATTTTTCTCTTTATGTTTTTAGTGAGTTGTCTTATCAAGGAGAAGAACTCAAGCTGATTATTCCTTTTTTCTCTTCCATCCACCTCGCAGGTGTGTTAATAATTTCATTTATCAGAAAATGTTCTTTCATATCCATCTTACAAGATGAGAGACCTTTTAACATCTTCCATTCGGATGTGATACCAGTAATGGAAAATATTCCAGCTTCATGAATATGGTGATACAAATAGTTATCCGTCTAACTTCTTTCAGTGCCAAATGTTTACTTTACTCAGTGAATTACTCAGTTGACTGGTAATTTCTTCTGAAATCACTAATGAGAGGATCAGAGGTCTGGCTGTTGTCTGTGCCTCATATGACTCCCAGTGCAGACAATTGTTTCTATGGAGCACAGACAGTTGAAAGGATTGACTTCCTGCCTAGAATAGTTTCTGCTGTGCTTCTTGTCCTTCTTGTGGAGATTTCAGATTATCTGAATTGCTTTTCTATCTTGAGAAAAAACGCAACAATTCTCCCAACTGAGAGGAATGTAAACTGTAGTAAGTTAGCTGAACCAATCCGTAAAATTTTTACATTGTTTGTTGCAAAATGCAGCGCTGGTGTCTCCATCACTAACCTTTTCTATCCCTCATTGCTCTTTCTTTGACTGCACTAGGATACCTCTAGGCAAATCTGTATTCCCTAGACAGAGTGCCTTTTTGGTGAGCTATAAGCACACTCAATGGTAGGCTGAAATACTAGCTTTTATCTATGGCGAAATGGAATCATATCAGTGATTTTTTTAAAAAGGAAATTTAACTCTTGCTATGGTTTGAATGCTTGCCCCTTCCAATCTCATGTTAAAATTTGATCCCCAATGTTGCAGGTGGGGCTTACTGGGAGGTGTTTGGTCATGGGGTTGGACCTTCATGAATGGATAATACCCTCCCTTAGAAATCTAAAGCTATCCTCCCGTATGTTACACTGCTGCATATTGTCTGACGTATCAGTGAGTTTCTGGCTTTCTTACTTTAGTTTACCCTTTGTCCTTTAGTTTGTAAAGCTTCTATTTTTTTCTATAAATTTTCTGATGTTAGGGTAAAATCCATTACTTATTCAATCTCATGGAATTTTTATTTCAAATTTTTTTCATCTATACATGTCCCATTTTTCATTTTATAACTTCTATTTTTCTCCTATGTTCAATTTTCATTTAAGTACCTTGACATATATATGTATTTATCTATATGTATTTATAAAATATATTTACTTTAAGGACCTTGAAATTTCCTTCTTTTCTGTCATTTATAAATGACTTATTTTTATCCTGTTAATATATATCTTAATTATATACATCTTACGGCTTCTTTGCATGTCAGAGGTTTTTTTTGGGTATTTTGATGTTATGCTATTGAATATCTAGATTTTATTGGCTACCTTTGAACAATGTTGTGGCAGGCAGTTCAGTAACTTCAGGATGAGTATTTGTCTGTTGTTGTTTTAAATCTTCTCTTTAAACTTTGTGGAGTGAGTCTAGAGCCATCTGTAATTTGGAGCTAAATGAGCACTGTTACTAGGGCATGAACCTCCAGTGGTCTTTACTGAATATCCTGGAGGTACAGAGGGGATTCCCTTCTCTGATTAGAATTTGGAATATAAAGAGAAAAGAGAAAAATAGAAAGCTATGCATAAACACGTGCATTAAAATGAATTTTATGTGGGCTTTTTCATGAAAATGTTCCAAAGGTATTTTATTTTTTTATTGTGGTAAAATACATATAAAATGTACTCTGTTAACCATTTTAAGTGTACAGTTCAGTGGTACTAAATATAGTCATAACATTGTGCAGCCGTCCCTACCATCCATCTCCATAATTCTTTTCATCTTGTAAAACTGAAACTCTATACCCATTAAACAATACTTCCCCATTTCTTCCTCCCCCCAGCTTCTGGCAACCATCATTGTACCATCTCTATGATTCTGACCACTTTAATACAAATGGAATTATACTGTATTTGTCCTTCACTGACTAACTTATTTCACTTGGCATAATATCCTCAAGTTTCATCCAAGTTGCAACATATGTCAGAATATTTCCCTCATGTTTAAGGCTGAATAATATTCCATTGTATGCCTATATCATATTGTGCTTATCCATTCATCTGTTGTTGGACACTTCAATTGCTTCTACGTTTTAGCTATTGCCAATAACGCTGCTGCAAACATGGATGTGCAAATATTTTTTCAAGACTCTGCTTTCAATTCTTTTGCTATCCTGAGATGTGGCGCTGCTGAATCATATGGCAATACCATTTTGATGTTTTGAGGAACTACCATACTCTTTTCCACAGCAAACATAGCGTTTGGCATTCCCTCCAATACTGCAAAACGAATCGCCACATCCTTGCCTGTGGATTTTATTCACAAGTCCTGTGGCTCTCTCTACAACCCGGCCACCATGTGTTATTTCCTGTTTATGTATATGACATCAAAGGTGCAGGAAGTAATGAACTAAATTGGAAGGATAAACATGTAGAAAAATAGAGGTAAATACTGACTACATAAAACCATAAGAATAAGAATTTTGGATGATCTATCTATTATATACCTATTTATCTAACATCTATCTGTTCTTAAAATATCTGTAATTAAAATATATTACAGTTAGAGAACAGAGGAAAAAGTAGGAATACATGAATTTAAATTTTAATTCTTCTTAGATTGTCTCACAGCATCATTATAGGAAAGAAAATTTATAGGTCAATATCTGTTAACTATAAATGTAACATTCTTAAAGAATTCAAATACATTGAATTACAGCATGAATAATATATTACAATCCATTCAAGTTTATTTTATTCCAGGAAAACAAAAATACAAATTTCATTTGCAATTCAAAAAAAAAGAAATCGATACATATGATTGATGTATGTACACACTTAATGTATTTTTAAATATACATTTTTAAAAAATAGAAATTTTTCTAGGACAAATACTTAAAATATCACTGAAAATAGTGTTATTAGCTAATACCTTCCTAATAACTCTGGTATTACATAAGAAACCAAAATTAAAATTTCAGGTAAACTTAGAAACTAAAAATTTTAAAAATATTATTCTGTTCTCCATATGTTCATATTTAATATTATTTCTTCTTTTCATTCGTCTTCAGTGTTGCTCTACTAAAATATAACATACAATACTAACTTTTGATTTCTGTTCTTATTACTCAGAATTGTATACATTTTCTCATGCTCTTAATTTAGTTATGCTACTTTTCTGTACTGTTGGAATTTTCACATTTGTGTTCACTCTCTTTTGAGTTCCCACAGTATCAAATGAGCTTTTTTCCCTCTTTCTGATTTGAAGATTCATCTTCTCATAATTATTTTGTCCACTCAGTTTTTTTTCATTATCAGTTAAGTGCCTCTCATCTGGCTTCTTTTCATTTATAAGGTTTCCTTTCATCTTAAGCCAGTCTTTCATTTATATTTTGATTCTGTTTTGTGGAGGACATGCTTCCCTGAATTTTATGGAAGAGGCCAAAAGGTTTGCTCAAGTTTTTACCTGATACATTGGATTAAATTATCTAATGTACACACTTTTAATTTAAGTCTAGGGGCGACTGTCTACTCTTGATTTTGTATAGTATTATTTTTCTTAACATCCAAGTCCATCTTCATCTATTTGTATAAGATCAATAAAAATATATTTGTCCAGAACCCTGCTTTGGCGGAGTCACTTCTTTCTAAGTAGTAGAGGTAGCAGTTGAGACATGAGCTGGGTTCTGGGTCAGTTTAGAGGGCTGGGCGACATTCCTCCTTTTGGTCTGTATGACTGAATGAATGCAGTTCTTGCTGTCTCGCTCCTCTCCTTAACACATTGAGCCACTGCAGCAGATAAGAAGGAATAATCTTGATCTGCCATTCAGGTGGAACACATGTTCTCTCCAACCACACCCATAGGTTGTACTCACACTCGGCCAGAAGGTATCCTGTCAATGATATGGAGATGTATCTATCTATCTAGATAGATATCTACTTTGGTTTATGCTCTCTGGTTGCCCGCAAATTATCTCCTTAAATTGAATATCAAAAGAGAGCTTGGTGATGGCAGTGTTATAAAATCCTCAAAATGCAGCACCCATACCCAGAGGAATTTGTAGATTCTGAGATTCTAATTCAGATACCAAACTATATAAAAGGGGAATTGGTCATTGAGGGTTGCTAGGCTCTTTGTTGAGCATATATGCTCTTTTCATGACTTCGAAATTATTTTAAAAATCTAAACTTTTTCTCAGTGTGCTGCAAGATGATTTGATTTGAATGCATAAGCAGTAATTCTCCCCTAAGATTTGTACAATATATTTGCTCTGACAAGCGATAGCCAGCAACTCACTTCACAGCAATTTACAGCGTTTCCATGATAAGTTGAATTATTTTTAACTAGACTCTCTTTGCCTTAATAAAAATATGAAGAAGCAATATACTTGTTCTAATTAGGTTCAAAAGTTGGCAGTCTCTCTCCTGGAAAGAATAGTAAAACTTTTCAGCGGCCTAATATGCATGTATAAACACACAAACACACACACACACACACACACACACACACAAGCACTATTCATAATATTTAAAGCACATTCTGTTCTATGACTTCATTTGTCTAGTACAAAATAAAACGATCTCTGTATATGTCAAGTATCAATTTTTTCGTATGGCCAATTATAGATATTTTATTTTTTAAAGATTAGAGTGTTCTTGAAGCTCTTTATATTTCTTTGTCAATGAACTAAACATTGGCAAATATGTAGGGTTTCCCACATAAGAACATTATTAACATCAAAATAGAAAGCTGGTGATAGCAATAATGATTGGGAACACAGAGTCTCTACTCAACGTTCTAGTTCTGCCATACCATAACTTTGTGATCTCAGGAAATATCTCTCCATGTTGTCATCTCAAAGTATAGTTCTGTCATTTTTCAATAAGAGCTTTTTGCTTAATTATGAAGTACTAGTTAGTGTAACCATTATTTTGAGCTTCATGTAAATCAAGAACACATGGACTCCACTTGCAAAACATCGAAAATGTAGTAGGGATTGGGGGCATAAAGCAACACTTTAAAATGTGTAAAGACAATGAGTAAGCAACAAAGTGTCCAATTTTTTAGGGGAAAGTTGCATACGTTAGGAAAAGGCAGGATTAAGTAACAGAGAATTTGAATGATAACTGGCCAATTGGTGTCATTTACAATTGCAAGTCATACAAATGAAGTTTTCTGTTTTAAAGAGAAAAGGATTTATTTAGAATGGGTCAACCTATTGGGGAAGCAATGTAGTTAGAAACAATGCCCAAAACCATGTAAGCAAATGCTCTGTAGAGCACACCCCTGCAATGCTGCCATTGTGAGGCCAAGTCTCTCCTCGTCTTGGTACTGAGCCCTCCGTTCTGCCTCCATCATTGCCACTGTAGCTGCCACAAAATGACCCCTCAACCACCGCTGCCCAGGAACAAAGAAAGAATTCTGTCCTTCCGCGCTCTCAGATCAATTTCCAACATCAGGTGAGCCTTTGATGGGCACTATTCAGTTCCCTTATCCCTGAAATAGATGCAGTAAAAATATAGAAATTGCCTATGTGTTTCCCAATAAGACACATATGGAAGCCTGTTTTCCCACAACAGGAAGGAGTTTGCACAATGGGTGTTCAAAGGAACAATATTCCCTGTAAACCGTACTTTGCCCATATGAAGAAAAGCAATAAGGATTATTTAGTAAATAGACATGGAAACTCATCCAGGGTTGGCTGATGAGAAGCTGGTTAGCAAGGGGGTCTGCCTTCAGTTAGGACAAGGTTTGTGCTTCCCACGGGTTCTCTCCACAGCAGGAGGGATGCAAACTTCCCTTTCCTCCCCTGCACCTACCCTCAAATGGCCCAGAGGTCTTCAGGTGCTAGAATTTCTCAATTAATGCTGCACAAAATATCAGACAGCCTTGACTGTCACAGTCTGTTCTCATGAAGCTAGTCTCTGCTCACTACATAAAACAGGAGAGTAAGAACAAGGGTGTTTAACGCTACCCTAGCTCAAACAAGTTTCTCTCTGTATTATGCCAAGAACCTGGGAACCAGTGCATCTGCTGCTTTCCCTTCTTGGATTCTAGCCCAGACAAAAGAGGCAAGGGGCATTTCTTCAGAGGCCTTGAGCTTCACTACACAATGACCCAGGCTCTACATGCACCCTCTTTATATATTTCTACCTTGAAAAAAAATTTTTATATAATATTAATAATATATATTTTTATATAATAAACACTTTTTTAATAGATAGATATAGATATACATAGATAAAGATCTCTAGTCAGCCTTTTTTAAGGCTGGGCTGATCGCAGTGCCTCAAAACTATAATCCCAGCACTTTGGGAGGCCAAGGTGGCCAGATCTCTTGAGTCCAGGAGTTGGAGATCACCCAGGGCAACATGGTGAAACCCCATCTTCACAAAAATTAGCTAGTATGGTATTATGCACCTGCAGTCCCTGCTACTCAGGAGGCTGAGGTGGGAGAATTGCTTGAGCACAGTATGTGAAGGCTTCAGTGAGCTCTAATCACATGACTGCACTCCATCTTGGGTGACAAAGTGAGACCCTCTCTCAAAAATAAAATAAAATAAAAAGGCTACCACCATACTCACAGATAAGTGTGTCAGGTATATTTGCAGCTATCCTTCCTATATTCTATTTGGTAAAAAAAAAAAAAAGGCAAAGAACTCTTCTCATTCTAGATTTTTGTATTAATTAGACATTTGAAGTTTATAGCAGAAGAGCTATAATCACTCTATAGACCAGATAGTGCAAACAGATATCAATGCTTTTTAAAAGTATAGAAGGTTATTAGAAATTTTTTAAACTACTTATAGGTATATATGTATCTAATTGAACTATCAAATGCAAGTAAGATCATTTCCTTAGCGTGTGAAATCCACTCAATTTATTAAAATATTTTCTAATATCTATTACAATAATATTTCTTAATTAGTTAACAAAAGAGGAGTTTTAAGACATTTGTTTATATGTACTTACTAGATTCAAACTCGATTCCACTATTTTCAGAACTCATACTCTGAGACAAGTCCTTTTTTTATGTAACTATGTTTCTGCCTATATTAAAAGACAGATATGTCAATTTTGCTAGTCATGCTGTTCCAAAGCTCTCCATCCTGATTATTTTTCGGTTTGTTCTAGCAGTCATTCAGAGACTTACTTATATTCAAATTTCTCTCTAGGTTTAACATTCGTGTATGTCTTGTTGTGGTTTTGTCTATTTTTGCTGTATATAATTTAAGACATTTTATTGACATACACATGCAGAAAAGTACAATGATTAAATATGATAGCTTGATTAATGAAACACATGTATTTGCTTATAGCCATGTACGAAAATAGAACATTATTAAAAATAGTGATACCTCTCCTGCCCCTTTCCAAACACTAACCCTCATCCTCAATAGTAACAGATTTTTTTTTATCATAATTTGGTCTACTTTCAAATTTTTATTAAATAAATCGGAGTATCTACTCTAAGTCTATGTTTATTTCATTGTTGTTATTTTACTTGTAGTATTTATCTGCTAATGGACATGGTAGATTGAAGACGGCTACATACACATTTTTTAATTAATAGATTTTTTGAGCACTTTGTGGCTCATGCCTTTAATCCCATCACTTTGGGAGGCTGAGGTGCGTGGATCATGAGGTCAGGAGATCCAGACAATCCTGGCTAACGTGGTAAAACCCCTTCTCTACTAAAATACAAAAAATTAGCTGATAGATAACATCAAGATAACATCTGAGTTCTTAGCTGCACTGAGTCAAGCCTACTTACATCTTTGTCTTCTGCTGCACTTTTCCTTCCACATCACCGTCCAGGAATGCCAAGCTCCGTTGGCCTTCTACCCCATTTCCACTATTGTTCCCCTGCCACCGCGGCTTTTTGCCGCTACCGCCGCGGGTTTTTTGCCTCCGCTGCTTTTTGCCACCGCCGCCGCGGCTTTTTACCCCCAACGCTGGGGCTTTTTGCGGCTCTTTGACCCACCACCGGGGCTTGTTGCCTCTTTTTGCACCCGCCGCCGTGCCTTTTTGCCCCCGCCGCTGCGGCTTTCTCCCCCGCCTCACGGCTTTCTGCCCCCACCGCTGTGGCTTTTCATCACCACTACCGCGGCTTTTTGCCCCCGCCACTGCGGGTTTCTCCCACCGCGGTTTTTGCCCCCGCCGCCGTGGCTTCTTACCCCCGCCGCCATGGCATTTTGCCCCACGTCACCGTGGCTTTTTGCAGCTTTTTGCCGCTGCGGCTCTTTGCCCCTGAAGCCACGGCTTTTTGCCCTTGGCGCCGTGGCTTTTTGCCCCCGCCGCCGCGGCTTTTTGCGGCTTTTTGCCCCCGCCAATACGGCTTTTTGCCGCTGCGGCTCTTTGCCTCCGAAGCCACGGGTTTTTACCCCCACCGCCACGGGTTTTTGCCCCCGTGGCTTTTTGCTGCCACGGCTTTTTGCCCCCGCCGCCATGGCTTTTTGCTCCTGCCGCTGAGGCTTTTTGCCGCCGCAGTTTTTGCCCCCGCCGCCGCTGCTTTTTGTGGCTTTTTGCCCCCGCAGCTTTCCCCCCGCCGTCGCCGCGGGTTTTTGTGGGTTTTTTGCACCCGCTCCCGCTGCTTTTTGCCCCGCCACTACGGCTTTTTGCCGCCTTGGTTTTTTGCCCCCGAAGCCACAGCTTTTTGCCCTCGCCGCCGCGGCTTTTTGTGGCATTTTACTCTCAGCCACGGTGGCTTTTTGCCCCTGCCACGGCTTTTTATCCCTATCGCCGTGGCTTTTTGGGCCCTCCGCCATGGCTTTTTGCAGTCACAGCTTTTTATCCCCACCGCCGCGGCTTTTTGGGCCCACCACCGCGGCCTTTTCAACCGCGGCTTTTTGCCCCCACCACCGTGGCTTTTGGCTCCTGCCACTGAGGCTTTTTGCTGCCGCGGTTTTTGCCCCTGCCGCCGCTGCTTTTTGCGGCTTTTTGCCCCCCGCCAGAGCGGCTTTTTGCCCCCGTGAATTTTCCCCCCGTCTAAGCGGGATTTTGTGATTTTTTTTGCCCCCGCTCCTGCTGCTTTTTGCCCCCGCCGCCGCAGCTTTTTGCCCCACTGCTACGGTTTTTTGCCACAGTTGCTTTTTGCCCCCGAAGCCACAGCTTTTTACCCTCGACACCGCGGCTTTTTGTGGCTTTTCGCCCCTGCCGCTGAGGCTTTTTGCCGCCGCGGTGTTTGTTCCCGCCACCGCTGCTTTTTGCGGCTTTTTGCCCCCCACCGCCACGGCTTTTTGCCCCGCCACTACGGCTTTTTGCCGCTGCAGCTTTTTGCCCCCGAAGCCACGGCTTTTTGCCCTCACCGCTGCGGCTTTTTGCACCCACAGCCGGGGCTATTTACCCCCGCTTCCACGGCTTTTTGCCACCGCTGTTTTTTCCCCCACCACCGCGGGTTTTTGCCCCCGCCGCCGTGGGTTTTTGCCGCTGAGGCTTTTTTTTTAACCGCCACCGCCGCGGCTTTTAGTCCCCGCCACCGCGGTTTTTTGCCTCCGCTGCCGAGGCTTTTTGTCCCCACCGCCTTTGCTTTTTGTAGGTTTTCGCCCCCGTCGCTGCAGGTTTTTTGCCCCCTGCCACCACGGCTTTTTCCCCCAGCCGCGGCGGATTTTTGTGTTTTTTTTCCCCCGCTCCCGCTGCTTTTTGCCCCCCCTCAGTGGCTTTTTACCCCCCTCAGCGCGGCTTTTTGCTCCCACCGCCACGTCTTTCTCCAACCGCCACCGTGGCTTTTTGCCCCTGCCGCCACGCCTTTTTGCCGCCGTGGCTTTTTGCCCCCGCTGCCTTTGGAACCTTAATTTCACTTGAAATCTGACTTCCCACTGCCATGCAACCTAACATATTTGTATGTTAGACTCCGGGAATTAGGACATGAACATTTCTGGGAGGCCATTATTTTGTCTACAACAGACATAATCTATTTACCTGAAGATTAAAGTGATCTTTATTTTTCTGCCTCTCTTTCTTAATTTTTTTTTAAATAATATGGATTGTAGTAAAGAGAAAGAAAAGAAAGAAAAAAGAAGGAAGGAAGGAAAGAAGAAAGAAAAGGAGGAAATGAGAGAAGGGAGGGAGGGAGGAAGGGAGAAAGGCAGGAAAGGAGAAAAAAGAAAGCAAGAACTCAAGAAAGAAAGAGAAAGAAAGTGAGAAAAGAAGGAAGGAGGAAGAGAGAATGGTAAAAGGGAGGAAGGCAAACAAAGAAAATAGAAGGGAGGAAGGAAGGAGAAGGGAAAGGGAGGGAGGAAGGAAAAAAGGGAGGAAGGGAGAAAAAGGAAAGAAAGTGAGAAAGAGTAAGAGAAAAGAAGGAAGAAAAGGGAGGGAGAAAGCAAGGGAGGGAGGAGGGAGGGAAGAATAAGGGGAAGGAAGGAAGGAGAAAAATGAAAGGAAAAGAAAGCGGAAAAGAAGAAAGGAAGGAAGAAGGCAAGGGAAGAGGAGAAAGGAAGATGGAAAGAAGGAAGGAAGAACGCAAATATTAGAAATTCTGGGTTTGTTAGAGAATATGCCATACTGTTTTTTTCTCACTTGAAAGGAAAGAGTATCTGCCATTGAAGATTGGATGTCTTGTTGGTGATATTGTTGTTCTTATCTTCCACATGATTACTGAGTTTGTGCCTAGTCTGTCCATTACTAAGACAAAAGTGTTGAAGTCTGCAAATATAATTTTGGGTTTTTCTAGTTCACCTTTGATTTCTTTCCTGTTTTACCTCATGTATTTGGAGGCTCTGTTGTTAGCTGCATACCCTAATTAGTAGGATGTTTACATCTTGAGAATTGATTATTATATTATCTATTATCTCTCATCTCTGATACTATTTCTTGTTCTGAACTCTGTTGTGTCTAATATCAATGTAGTCCTTCCACAGCTTTATTTCAGTGTTTCCATGATATGGCTTTCTCCATATCTTGATGATAACCTATTTCTATCTCTATATATTTGGAGCAAGATATAAAATTTAGACTTGATTTTTTAAAGATTTTTCAAGATGGAATTCTTATTTCTTTTTGTTCTATTTGACATTCTCTGAGTTTCCTATATCTGAAGTTTGATTTTCTGTCACTTCTTTTAGAATATTTTTGGCAGTTATTTTGAAATATATTTCTTTTGCTCCATTATTTTTTCCTCTTTTCTTTTTGGGATTTCAATCATAACTAGAGTAGGTAATTTCACTCAGTCTTATGCAGGTACTTTTTCTCAGGGTCTCAGGAATGTAGCCTTCTCACACTTCTGTTCTTTTCCTGGCTGTGTTGGTGAGCTCAGTGATATTCCTCCTTCACCTTCAAGAGCAGTTTTGTTTTGTTTTTCCTGTTTTCATACTCCCAGCATCAGGAGTATTCTAAGTGTGCCAGTTTTTGTTGCCTTCCCCTACATATTAAGTGGAATATCTTGGTCTATTTGGACTCTTATAACAAAATAACATAAACTGGGTGACTAAAAAACAACAGATATTTCTTTTTTCACACTTCTTGAGGCTGTAAGATCTCAGGTCAAGATGCTCACAAATTCAGTGTTGATGAGAGCCCATTTCATGGTTCATAGATGGTGCCTTCTTTCTATGTCCTCAGACAGTGGAAGGCACACAATAACTCCATTGAGCTTCTTTTATAAAGGCACTAATCCCATTCATAAGGGCTCGGCCCCCAAGACCTGGTCACCTCCCAAGTGTTCTGCTCTCCCTGATCTGTGTCATATACAGACTCTCTTGGATTCCTTACCAATTGCCTGAGAGATCACAGTGGGTTTGTGGGGAAAACGTTTTCAAGATGATGGATCTTTCCCAACTTCTGCAGCTGTCAGCGGTCTCCCAATCTCACCAGCCCCACTTTGTCTTTAGGAATTTATTGATTATTCCAGCTTTACTTGTCATCGTGGTGTCTATTTGCATCTGTCCTATGTAAGTGCATCTGTCCTTTTTCTCCTTGCAGGTGCAAGTACTCAGGAGTACACTGTTGTTACTAATTACTCAGTATTGGTTGGTACATTGTCAAAGATCAAAAAACATTTTTAAAGATAAAAAAATTCTTGGAAGGTGTATAATGAACGGTTAATTCTGCAGACATGGCTTTCCAAAACCTTGCACATTCCAAAGGTCTTCAGGACTGGCCCTTGACAAGCTCCTGGGAGATGATAACCTATGAGCCCTTGGTATATGCTGCCTGATGAGAGTCTTTGTATACCTGAAAACGTAGGTCATACCAAATAGCTGATGCTAACAACGTGATTTCTTGTGAGCACCTGTTTCTGTATGCCTATGACTTTGTGTAATGCCATATTAATATGACCTCTCTTAGGGCATAGGGAGGTTGGGAACTAAGTAGCTAAGTTCAGTCACAGGACGTTCGATGCATATGTGGTGGAATCCTAATAAAAACCCTGGACTCAAGACTGACTGAGCTTCCCTAGTTGGCAACAAGTTCGCACATGTTGTCTCACACCATTGTAAAGAAAATTAGTCAGTGTGAAGTCCCCACTATGAAAGGACACCTGTAAGCTCACATCTGGTTTGTCCTGGACTCAACTTTATGTGCTTTTATGCTTCTGATTATTTTAATCTGTTTTCTTTCACAGTTAGAAACTATAACCACAAAAAAAATAAGCTTTCTTGAGTTATGTGAATCATTAAACCAAAGGGGGACTTGGGAAACCCCAATAAAAAGTATGTATATTCTTAAAAAGACAAAGAAAACTGGCTATAGCAGGTATTGCTGATGACTTGTCTTCTATGTCCTGGACTTAATGTGTTCACCTGAAATTCACCTGTTTCCAGCTAACTGAGAGCTCCCCATATCATGCCTGTCTTTCTGATTTTTGGGCTTACCTGCAAGCTTCTTGAGGCTAACCAGTGCTTCTCAATCACACATAGGAACAAAGAAGGAGTTAGGGGTGGAGAGTTAATGACTCTAAGGCAATCCTTAAGCAATAAGAGATGGGGATTCCAGCATCCCCATCTCTTTGTAAAGTTATTTTGAGACAATCTCCATACCTCCATCATTACTGAGCACATAGCAGTAAGTACTCATTCACACTGGCTTCGTGTTCTGTTTCATTTTCTCCACTTCTGTGCTTTCTCACTCAATTTCTGATTAAAGTATTTGACCCCAGATATTTGTTTCATAGTCTATTTTTGAGGGAATCCAGAGCCAAGACAATAACAATGGGAGCTTTGCAATGAGGGAGGGTGAGTATAATCATCAGAAGTTTACCTACCTCACTGGAAACATGAAGGCCTGGAGAGCTTGCTGTTTCAATGAGAGAAACATGTTGAATCTCAGTTGAATACCTATATATATATGTGCAATAAGACGTGCCCTTTACTTATATCAAAGGAAAGTGCTCTTTACCTCTCTTTGTTGTTGTGTTTTTACCACTATTGCCTACATAAGCAGAATATCATACCCAGGATTTAAAGCCCTCTCTGCAGGATTTTCAAGCTCATGTTTTTATCATAAGTCACTCTGCTTCCATGTGTTTTAAATCTAATTCTCATTCATCTGCTTTTACACCAGAGAATTCATCAATGACTTATTTTTGACTGACCTCCTTATAGAGCTGTCAAGTACACAATTTCTGCTGTGACCTTTCTCTTAGAGTTCAGTCATATAGCCTCTCACTAGATATCATTTCCTCTTATCTTTCCTAATAATGAATTGTCAGTTAAAACTCAATATTTTTAAGATTGAGCTTACCATCTGCACACACACACACACCATTATTGGTGTATTCTCATAGTCTTGAAACACTAATGTCACGTTGATGTCTGCCTTTTCTTTCTCTGCTACCTCATTCCTCATCCTTAGATTATTCTAAAAGATTCAATTAGATCAAGTTGGCTAATTATATTTTTAAGATCCTCTCTACCCTTACCAACTTTTCGCTTAACAAAATTTAAAAATTTCTGGCGGGAGACTGTTGAAATCCCCATGGATGACTGTGGTTTTACTATTTTACCTTTCAATTTTAATAGTTTTATATTATGTATTTTGAAGTAATGCTATTGTGTGCATACATATTACTTATTTACATGAATTCTTGGTGTATTTTCTCCTTTGTCATTTTGAAATGTTATTCTTCATCCCCAGTGATATTTCCTATTCTGATGTCTACTTTGCTCATCACAGTTTTAGGGGCTTTTGGTTTGTTTGTTTTTCTAATTTTGGTTCAAGTAAGTTTCTTATAAATCTGTTCAATTCCATTTGATGATTCCATTTGATTCCATTCGAGGATTCCACTCAATTCCATGCAATGATGATTCCATTCGAGTCCATTCAATGATTCCATTCGAGTCCATTTGATAATTCCATTCGATTCCATTCGATGATGATTCCATTAGAGTACATTCAATGATTCAATTTGATTCCATTTGATTCCATTCGATGATGATTCCATTAGAGTCCATTCGAGGATTCCATTCGATTCCATACGATGATGTTTCCATTCGAGTCCATTCAATGATTCCATTCGAGTCCATTTGATGATTCCATCTGATTCCATTTAATGATGACACAATTCGAGTCCCTTTGTTGATTCCATTCGATTCCATTCTATGATGACTGCATTCGGTTCCATTCGATGATGATTCCAACGGATTCCATTCAATTTCTCCATTAGATTCCATTCCTTGCTGATTCCATTCCATTCCATTCCATTAGATGATGACTCCACTAGATTCCATTCGATGATGATTTCATTAGACTCCATTCGATGATGATCCAATTCGGTTCTATTCAATGATGATTCTATTCAATTCCATTCAATAATTTCATTCGATTCCATTCGAAGATTCCATTCTATTCCATTCGATGGTGATTCCATTCGTGTCCAATCAATGATTCCATTCGATTCCATTCGATGATAATTCCATTTGAGTCCATTCAATGATTCCATTCGATTCCATGCGATGAAGATTACATTGAGTCCATTCGATAATTCCATTTGATTCCATTAGATGACGACTGCATTCGGTTCCATTTGATGATGATTCTAACGGACTCCATTTGATGACTCCATTTGATTCCATTCACTGATGATTCCATTCAATGATGATTCCATTCGATGACGATTCCATTTGATTCCATTCGATGATGATTCCATTCGATTCCATTCAATGATGATTCCATTGGATTCCATTCGATGATTCCATTTGATTACATTCGATGATGATTCCTTTCGGGTCCATTCGATGATTCCATTCTATTCCATTCAATGATTCCATCTGATTACTCCATTCAACTCCATTTGATGTTTTCTTTCGATTCCACTCAATGTTGATTCCATTTGAGTCCATTCGATGATTCCATTCATGTGCATTCCATGATTTCATTCGATTCCATTCGATGATGATTCCATTTGATTCCATTTGATGATTACATTTGATTTCATTCGATGATGATTACATTGGATTCCATTCGATGATTCCATTCGAGTCCATTCAATGATTCCATTCGAGTCCATTAAATGATTCCATTTGATTCCATTTGATGATGACTCCATTCAAGTCCGTTCAATGATGATTCCATTTGATTCCATTCGATGATTCCATTGGATTCCATTCTTTGTTTTATTTTGATTCGTTTTGATAAAGATTCCATTCTGTTTCATTCAATGATCCCATTTGATTCTATTCAATGATGTTTCCATTCGATTACATTTGAAGAAAATTCCATTCGATTCCATTGATGATGATTCCATTCAATTCTATTTGATGCCGATTCTATTCGATTCCATTTGATGATGATTCCATTCGATTCCATTCGATGATTAAATTCGATTCCATTTGATGATGATTCCATTCGAGACCGTTTGATGATTCCATTCAATTCAATAATGATTCCACTCAGGTCCATTCGATGATTCCATTCAAGTCCATTTGATGATTCCATCTGATTCCATTCAATGAATCCATTCGATTCCATTCTATGATGATTCCATTCATTTCCATCCGAAGATGATTCCATTCGATTCCATTCAATGATTCCATTCGAATCCATTCAATGATGAGTCCATCCATTTCAATTTCATGATAATTCCATTCGTTTCAATTCGATGGTGTTTCCATTCTATTCCATTCGATGTTGATTCCATTAGTTTCCATTGGATGATGATTCCATTCGAGTCCATTTGATGATGATCACATTCGATTTCATTCCATAATTCTATTTGATTCCATTTGATGATGATTCCATCTGATTCCATTCGATGATTCCATTCGTTTCCATCCGAAGATGATTCCATTCGATTCCATTCAATGATTCCATTTGATTCCATTTGACGATGATTCCAATCAATTCCATTCAATGATTCCATTCGAATCCATTCGATGATGAGTCCATCCATTTCAATTTCATGATAATTCCATTCGTTTCAATTCGATGGTGTTTCCATTCTATTCCATTCGATGTTGATTCCATTAGTTTCCATTGGATGATGATTCCATTCGAGTCCATTCGATGATGATCACATTCGATTTCCTTCCATAATTCTATTCGATTCCATTTGATGATGATTCCATCTGATTCCATTCGATGATTCCGTTCGATTCCATTCGATGATGATTCCATTCGTTTCCATCCAATGATGATTCCATTCGATTCCATTCGATGATGATTCCATTCGAGTCCATTTGATGATTCCATTCGATTCCATTCGACGATGATTGCATTCGAGTCCATGGATTATTCCATTCCATTCCATTTGATGATTCCATTCGAGTCCATTCAATGATTCTCTTTGATTCCATTCGATAATTCCATTTGATTCCGTTTGATGTTGATTCCATTTGAGTCCATTCGATGATAATTCCATTGGATTCTATGTGATGATTCCATTCTATTCCATTTGAAGATGATTCCATTCGAGACCATTCGATGATTCCATTCAATTCATTCGATGACGATTCCATTCAATTCCATTTGATGATTTCATTAGATTCCATTTGATGATGATTCCATTCAATGATGATTCCATGCGATTCCATTTGATGATGACTCCTTTCGTTTCCATTCAATGATGATTCCATTCGGTTCCATTCAATGATGATTCCTTTGGATTCCATTTGATGACGATTCCATTCAATTCCAATTGATGATGATTCTTTTCGATTCCAATCAATGATGATTCCATTCGATTCCATTTGATCATGATTCCATTCGATTCCACTCGATGATTCCATTTGATTCCATTCAATGATGATTCCATTCGAGTTCATTGATTATTCCATTCCATTCCATTCGATGATTCCATTCGAGTCCTTTCGATGATTCTATTCTATTCCATTCAATAATTCCATTCGATTCCATTTGATGATAATTCAATTCGAGTCCATTCGATGATTATTCCATTCGATTCTATTTGGTGATTCCATTCGATTCCATTTGATAATGATTCCATTCGAGACCATTCGATGATTCCATTCAATTCATTCGATGATGATTCCATTCAATTCCATTCGATGATTGCATTCGATTCCATTCGATGATGATTCCATTTGGTTCCTTTCGATGATGATTCCTTTGGATTCCATTCAATGATGATTCCTTTTGACTCCATTTGATGTTGATTCTTTTCTATGCCATTCGATGGTGATTCCATTTGATGCCATCCAATGATGATTCCATTCGATTCCATACGATGATGATTCCATTCGAGTCCATTCGATAATTCCATTCAATTCCATCTGATGATGATTCCATTCGATTCCATTCAATGATTCCATTTGAATCCTTTTGATGATTATTCCATTCGAGTCCTTTCAGTGATTCCTTTTGATTCCAATTGAAGATGATACCATTCGTTTCCATTCAATGATACCATTTGATACCATTAGTTGATGATTCCATCTGAGTGCATTCCATGATACCATTCGATCCCATTCAATGATGAATCCATTCGATTTCACTCAATGATTCCATTCAATTCCATTCTATGATGATTCCATTCAAGTCCATTTGATGATTCCATTTGACTCCATTTGATGATGATTCCATTCAATGATTCCATTCGATTCTATTCGATGATTATTCCATTCGATATCATTTGATGCTGATTCCATTCAATTCCATTTGATTATTCCGTTTGATTCCATTTGATGATTCCATTTGATTACATTTGAGGATGATTCCATTTGATTCCAATCAATGATGACTGCAATCAATTCCATTCAATGATTACATTTGATTCCATTCGATGAAGATTGCGATCGATTACGTTCGATGATTCCATTCAATTCCATTCGATGATTCCATTTGATAATGATTCCATTGGAGTCCATTCGATGATTCCATTCGAGCCGATTTGATAATTCCATTTGAGTCCAATCCATGATTCCATTCGAGTCCATTCAATCATTCCATTTGAGTCCATTCAATGATGATTCCATTCAAGTCCATTCGATCATTCTTTTTGAGTTCATTCGATGATGATTCCATTCGAGTCCATTCGATGATTCCATTCGATTCCATTCAATGATGATTCCATTTGAGTCCATTCGATGATTCCATTTGATTTCATTCAATGATGATTCCATTCAATTGCATTGAATGTTTCCATTCTATTCCATTTGATGAAGATTCCATTCGAGTCCACTTAATGATTCCATTCGGGTCCGTTTAATGATTCCATTGAGTTCAATACGATGATGATTACACTGGATTCCATTCTATGATTCCATTCGATTTCTTTCGTTGCTGATTCCATTCGATTCCATTTGATGATGATTCCATTTGATTCCATTCGATGATGATTCCATTCAATTACATTGGACGATGAATCCATTCAATTCCATTCGATGATGATTCCATTTTATTCCATTAGATGATGATTCCATTCAATTTCATTCAATGATTCCATTCGATCCCATTCGATGATGTTTCAATTCTATTCCATTGGATGATTCCATTCTATTCCATTCGATGATGATCCCATTCGATTCCATTCGATGATGATTCCATTCGATTCTGTTCGATGATGATTCCATTCGATTCCATTCGATGATGATTCCATTCGATTCCATTCGATGATGATTCCATTCGATTCCATTCGATGATGATTCCATTCGATTCCATTCGATGATGATTCCATTCACTTGCATTTGATGATGATTTCAATTGAGTCCATTCGAAGATTCCATTAGATTCCATTCGATCATGACTCCATTCGAGTCCATTCGATGATTCCATTCCATTCCATTCCATGATGATTCCATTCGAGTCCATTCTCTGATTCCACTAGATTCCATTTGATGATGATTCCATTCAAGTCCATTTGATGATTCCATTCAATTCCATTCGATGATGATTCCATTCGAGTCCATTCGATGATTCCATTTGAGTCCATTCGATGATGATTCCACTCGAGTCCATTAGATGATTCCATTCAAGTCCATTTGATTATTCCCTTAGATACCATTCATTGATGATTCTATTCGATGCCATTCGATGATTCCATTTGGTTCCATTTGAGGATATTTCCATTTGAGTCCATTCAATGATTCCATTGGATTCCATTCAATGATGATTCTATTCATGTCCATTCAATGATTCCATTTGATTCCATTCAATGATGATTCCACTCGAGTCCATTCGATGATTCCACTCTATTCCATTTGATGATGATTCCATTCGAATCCATTTGATGATTCCATTCGATTCCATTCGATGATTCCTTTCGATCCCATTTGATGATTCCCTTTGATTCCATTCGATGATCACTCCATTCAATTCAGTGATCCCATTGGATTCCATTCGATGATGATTCCATTAGATTCCACTGCATGATGGTTCCATTCGGTTCCATGTGATGATGATTCCATTAGATTCCATTCGATGATTCCATGCGATTCCATTTATTGATGATTCCATTCGATTCCATTCGATGATGATTCCATTCGATTCATTCGATTATGATTCCATTCAATTCCATTTGATGATGATTCCATTTGATTTCATTCGATGATTCTATTTGATTCCATTTGATGATGATTCCATTCTATTCCATTTGATGATTCCATTCGATTCCATTCTATGATGATTCTATTTGACTCCATTTGATTATGATTCCATTTGATTCCATTTGATGACGATTCCATTCATGTCCATTCGGTGATTCCACTCAATTCTATTCGATGATGATTCCAAACGAGTCCGTTAGATGATTCTATTTGATTCCATTGGATGATGATTCCTTTCGATGCCATTCAATGATTCCCTTTGATTTCATTTGATGATGATTCCATTCAATTCCATTCGATGATTCCATTTGATGATGATACCATTTGATGCCACTCAATGATTCCATTCGATTCCGTTCAATGATTCCATTCAATTCCATTCGATGATGATTCCATTCAAGTCCATTCAATGCTTACATTCGATTCCATTTGATGATGATTCCATTTGATTCCATTCAATGGTGATTCCATTCGAGTCCATTCGATGATTCCATTCGATTCCTTTTGATGATGATTCCATTCGATGCCATTCAATGATTCTATTCGATTGCATTCAATGATGATTCCATTTGAGTCCATTCAATGATTCCATTCAAGTCCATTTGATGTTTCCTTTCAATTCCACTCGATGATGGTTCCATTCGAGTTCATTCAATGATTCCATTGGATTCAATTCGATGATGATTCCATTCGAGTCCATTCGTTGCTTCCATTTGATTTCATTCGATGATGATTCCATTCGACTGTATTTGATGATTCCATTCTATTCCAGTCGATGATGATTCCATTTGAGTCCATTTGATGATTCCATTCGCGTCCATTTAATGATTCCATTGGGTTCAATTCAATGATGATTACATTGGATTCCATTCTATGATTCCATTCGATTCCATTCGTTGATGATTCCATTCGACTCCACTCGATGTTGATTCCATTCAATTTCATTCAATGCTTCTATTTGATTCCATTCGATGATGATTCCATTCTATTCAATTCAATGATTCCATTAGATTCCACTCGATGATGATTACATTCGATTTCATTCAATGATTCTATTTGATTCCATTCGATGATGATCCCATTCTATTCAATTCTATGATTACATTTTATTCCATTCGATGATGATTCCATTCGATTCCATTCGATGATGATTCCATTCGATTGCATTCGATGATGATTCCATTTGGGTCCATTCGAAGATTCCATTCGATTACATTCCGTGACGATTCCGTTCGAGTCCATTTGATGATTCCATTCGACTCCATTCGACGATGATTCCATTCGATGCTATTCTATGATTCCATTCTATTTCATTTGATGATGATTCCATTCAACTCTATTCGATGATTCCATTCCAGTTCATTCGATTATTCCATTAGATTCCATTCGATGATGATTCCATTCAAATCCATTTGATGATTCCATTCGATTCCATTCGATGATGATACTATTCGAGTCCATTCGATGATGACTGCATTCGATTCCATTCGATGATTCCATCTTATTACATTCGATGAAGATTCCGATCGATTCCATTCGATGATTCCATTCAATTCATTTGATTATTCCATTTTATTCCATTCGATAATGATTCCATTCGAGTCCATTCGATGATTCCATTCGAGCCCATTCGATAATTCCATTTGAATCCAATCCATGATTCCATTCGAGTCCATTCGATCATTCCATTTGAGTCCATTCAATGATGATTCCATTCGAATCCATTCGGTGATTCCATTCAAGTACATTCAATAATTCCATTTCAGTCCATTCAATGACGGCTTTTGATTCCATTCGACGATATTCCTTTTGAGTCCATTCAATGATTCCATTCTATTCTATTCGATGATGATTCCTTTCATCTCCATTTGGTGATTCCATTCGATTTCATTCAATGATGATTCCTTCCGAGTCCATTAGATGATTCCTTTCGAGTACATTAAATGATTCCTTTCAATTCCATTTGATGATGATTCCATTGGAGTCCATACAGTGATTCCATTCGATTCCATTCAATGATGATTCCATTCGATTCCATTCAATGATTCCATTTGATTCCATTTGATAATGATTTCATTCGAGTCCATTTGATGATTCCATTTGATTCCATTCAATGATAATTCCATTCGATTCCATTTGATAATTCCATTGGATTCCATTCAATGATGATTTCATTTGAGTCCATTCGATGATTCCATTTGATTCCATTCGATGATGATTCCATTCGAGTCCATTTGATGATTCTATTCAAATCCATTTAATGATTGCTTTTGATCATATTCGATGATGATTCCATTCGAGTCCATTCAATGATTCCATTCGATTCCATTCGATAATGATTCCATTCGAGTCCATTTGATGATTCTATTTGATTCCATTCTCCGATGATTCCATTCGAGTCTATTCGATGATTCCACTCGATTCCATACAATGATGATTCCATTCGATTCCATTTGATGATTCCATTCGAGTCCATTCGATAATTCCATTTCAGTCCATTCGATGACGGCTTTTGATTCCATTCGACGATATTCCTTTTGAGGCCATTCAATGATTCCATTCAATTCTATTTGATGATGATTCCTTTCATCTCCATTTGGTGATTTCATTCAATTTCATTCAATGATGATTCCTTTCGAGTCCATTAGATGATTCCTTTCGAGTCCATTAGATGATTCCTTTCAATTCCATTTGATGGTGATTCCATTCGAGTCCATACAGTGATTCCATTCGATTCCATTCGATGATGATTCCATTTGATTCCATTCAATGATTCCATTCGATTCCATTCGATAATGATTTCATTCGAGTCCATTTGATGATTCCATTTGATTCCATTCAATGATAATTCCATTCGATTCCATTTGATGATTCCATTGGATTCCATTCGATGATGATTTCATTCGAGTCCATTCGATGATTCCATTTGATTCCATTCGATGATGATTCCATTCGAGTCCATTTGATGATTCCATTTGATTCCATTCGATGATGATTCCATTCGAGTCCATT
This sequence comes from Homo sapiens, assembly GCF_000001405.40. Classification (NCBI taxonomy): domain Eukaryota; kingdom Metazoa; phylum Chordata; class Mammalia; order Primates; family Hominidae; genus Homo; species Homo sapiens. Next base: position 43,325,689 of record NC_000009.12, read on the forward strand.
CAATGATTCCATTCGATTCCATTCGATAATGATTTCATTCGAGTCCATTTGATGATTCCATTTGATTCCATTCAATAATAATTCCATTCGATTCCATTTGATGATTCCATTGGATTCCATTCGATGATGATTTCATTCGAGTCCATTCGATGATTCCATTTGATTCCATTCGATGATGATTCCATTCGAGTCCATTTGATGATTCTATTCAAATCCATTTGATGATTGCTTTTGATTATATTCGATGATGATTCCATTCGAGTCCATTCAATGATTCCATTCGATTCCATTCGATAATGATTCCATTCGAGTCCATTTGATGATTCTATTTGATTCCATTCTCCGATGATTCCATTCGAGTCCATTCGATGATTCCACTCGATTCCATACAATGATGATTCCATTCGATTCCATTTGATGATTCCATTCGAGTCCATTCGATAATTCCATTTCAGTCCATTCGATGACGGCTTTTGATTCTATTCGACGATATTCCTTTTGAGGCCATTCAATGATTCCATTCAATTCTATTTGATGATGATTCCTTTCGTCTCCATTTGGTGATTTCATTCAATTTCATTCAATGATGATTCCTTTCGAGTCCATTAGATGATTCCTTTCAATTCCATTTGATGTTGATTCCATTCGAGTCCATACAGTGATTCCATTCGATTCCATTCGATGATGATTCCATTTGATTCCATTCAATGATTCCATTCGATTCCATTCGATAATGATTTCATTCGAGTCCATTTGATGATTCCATTTGATTCCATTCAGTGATGATTCCATTCAATTCCATTTGATGATTCCATTGGATTCCATTCAATGATGATTCCATTCGAGTCCATTCAATGATTCCATTTGATTCCATTTGATGATGATTCCATTCGAGTCCATTTGATGATTCTATTCAAATCCATTAGATGATTGCTTTTGATTATATTCAATGATGATTCCATTCGAGTCCATTCAATGATTCCATTAGATTCCATTCGATGATGATTCCATTCGAGTCCATTTGATGATTCTATTTGATTCCATTCTCCGATGATTCCATTCGATTCCATTCAATGATTCCACTTGACGATGATTCCATTCGATTCCATTATATGATTCCATTCGATGATGATTCCTTTCTATTCCATTTGATGATTCCATCTGATTCTATTCGAGGATTCCATTTGATTCGATGACTTCATTCAAGTTCATTCAATGATTACTTTCGAGTCCATTTGATGATTCCATAAGATTCCATTTTATGATGATTCCATTAGAGTCCATTCAATGACTCCATTCGAGTCCATTCAATAATTCCATTCGAGTCCATTCAATGATTCCATTCGATTCCATTTGATGATTCCATTCGAGTCCATTTGATCATTACATTCGAGTCCATTCAGTGAATCCATTGGATTTCTTTTGATGATGATCCCATTCTATTCCATTTCATGATGATCCCATTTGATTCCATTCGATTATGATTCCATTCATGTCCATTCGATGATTTCATTCGATTCCATTCAATGATGATTCCATTCGAGTCCATTTGATGATTCCATTCGAGTCCCTTAGTTGATTCCATCCAATTTCATTTGATGATGATTCCATTCGAGTCCATTCAATGATTCCATTTGATGATTCCATTGGAGTCCATCTGATTATTCCATTAGAGTTCAATCGATGATTCCATTTGATTCCTTTTGATGATAATTCCATTTGAGTCCATTCGATGATCATTCCCTTCAATTCCATTCAATGATTCCATTCGATTCTATTCGATGATTCCCTTCGATTCCTTTCCATGATGATTCCATTCCATTCCATTCAATGATTCCATTTGATTCTATTCCATGATGATTCCATTCGATTCCATTTGATGACGACTGCATTTGGTTCCATTTGATGATGATTCCAAAGGATTCCATTCGATTTCTCCATTTGATTCCATTCGTTGATGATTCCATTCGATTCCATTACATGATGATTCCATTAGATTCCCCATTCGGTGATGATTCCATTTGATTCCATTCGATGACGATTCCATTTGATTCCATTCAATGATGATTCCATTCGGTTCCATTTGATGATTATTCCATTTGAGTAAATTCAATTATTCCATTTGATATCATTTGATGATGATTCCATTCAAGTCTATTTGATGATTCCCTTCAATTCCATTCAATGATGATTCCATTCGGTTCCATTTGATGATTATTCCATTTGAGTAAATTCAATTATTCCATTTGATACCATTCGATGATGATTCCATTCAAGTCCATTTGATGATTCCGTTCAATTCCATTCGATGATGATTCCATTCAAGTCCATTTGATGATTCCATTCTATTGTATTCGATGATTCCATTCTATTCCATTCGAAGATGATTCCATTTGAGTCCATTCGATGATTCCATGAGAGTCCATTTAATGATTCCGTTGGGTTCAATTAGAAGATGACTACACTGGATTCCATTCTATGATTCCATTCGATTACATTCGTTGATGATTCCTTTTGATTCCATTCGATGATTCCGAGTCCATTCGATGATTCCATTTGAGTCCATTCGATGACACCATTCGATTCCATTTGATGATGATTCCATTCGAGTTCATTCGATGATTCCATTCGTTTCCATTTGATGATGATTCCATTCAAGTCCATTCGATGGTTACATTCAATTCCATTTGATGATGATTCCATTCAATTCCCTTCATTCATGATTCCATTGGATTCCTTTCAATGATGATTCCATCCAATTTCATTCGATGATTCTGTTCGTTTCCATTCGATGATGATTCCATTCTATTCCAATCGATGTTTCCATTCGATGTCATTCGATGATGACTCCATTCTATTCCATTTGATGATGACTTCATTCAATGCCATTCGATGATTCCATTCATTGATGTTTCCATTTGATTCCATTCAATGATTCCATTCGTTTCCATTCGATGATGTTTCCATCGATTCCATTCAATGCTTACATTCGATTTCGTTCGATGATGATTCCATTCGAGTCCATTCAATGGTTTCATTCGATTCCAGTCGATGATGATTCCATTCAATTCCATTCAATGATTCCTTTCACGTCCATTCCATGATTCCATTTGAGTCCATTCGATGACACCATTCGATTCCATTCGATGATGATTCCATTCGAGTCCATTCGATGATGATTCCATTTGAGTCCATTCAATGATTCCATTCGGTTCCATTTGATGATGATTCCATTGGATTCCATTCAATGATTCGATTCGATTCCATTCGTTGTTGATTCCATTTGTATCCATTCTATGATGATTCCATTTGATTCCCTTCGTTGATGATTCCATTAGATTCCATTCTATGATGATTCCATTCGACTCCATTCGCTGATGATTCCATTCGATTTCATTCAATGGTTCCATTTGATTCCTTTTGATGATGATTCCATTCCATTCCATTTGATGATTCCATTTGAATCCATTCGATGATGATTCCATTTGGTTCAATTCGATCATGAGCCATTCGTTTTAATTCCATGATGATTTGATTTGATTCAATTCGATGATGCTTACATTCGATTCCATTCGATGATGCTTCCAATCGATTCCATTGGACGATGATTCCATTCGAGTCCATTTGATGATGATTCCATTCGAGTCCATTTGATGATGATTTAATTCGATTTCATTCGATGCTTCTATTCGATTCCATTCGATGATGATTCCATATGATTTCATTCGATGATTCCATTCGATTCCATTCAGTGATGATTCCATTTGATTCCATTTGATGATGATTTCATTTGATTCCATTTGATGATGATTTCATTTGGCTCCATTTGATGATTCCTTTCGAGTCCATTTGATGATTCCATTGGACTCCCTTTGATGATGATTCCATTCAATGATTCCATTCGATTCTATTCGATGATGATTCCATTCGATTTTGTTCAATGCTGATTTCTTTCAATTCAATTCGATGATTCCATTTGATTCCATTTGAAGTTTCCATTCGATTACATTTGATGATGATTCCATTCGATTCCATTTGATGATTCAATTCGATTCTATTCGATGATGACTGCATTCAATTCCATTCGATGATTCCATTTCATTCCATTTGATGATGATTCCGATCATTTCCATTCAATGATTCCATTCAATTCCATTCGATGATTCCATTTTATTCCATTCAATAATGATTCCATTCGAGTCCTTTCGATGATTCCATTCGAGGACATTCTATAATTCCATTTGAGTCCAATCGATGATTCCATTCAAGTCCATTCGATGATTCCATCTGAGTCCATTCGATGAAGATTCCATTCGCGTCCATTCAAAGATTCCTTTAGAGTCCATTCGATGATTCCTTTTGATTTCATTTGATAATGTTTCCATTCGAGACCATTCGATGATTCCATTCAATTAATTCGATGATGATTCCATTCAACTCCATTCAATGATTCCATTAGATTCCATTTGATGATGATTCCATTCGATTCAATTTCATGATGATTCCATGTGATTCCATTCGACGATGACTCCTTTCGTTTCCATTCGATGATGATTCCTTTGGATTCCATTTGATGATGATTCCATTCAACTCCATTTGATGTTGATTCTTTTCGATTCCATTCTATGATGATTCAATTTGATTCCTTTTGATGATGATTCCATTCGAGTCCATTCGATGATTCCACTCAATTCCATTCGATGATGATTCCATTCGATTCCATTCGATGATTCCATTCGATTCTTTTGATGATTATTCCATTTGAGTCCATTCCGTGATTGATTTCGATGCCAATTGAAGATGATTCCGTTCGACTCCATTCGATGATACCATTCGATACCAATCATTGACGATTCCATTCGAGTGCATTCAATCATACTATTCGATTCCATTCGATGATGATTCCACTCAATTCCATTCGATAGTGATTCCATTTGGGTCAATTTGATCATTCCATTCGATTGCATTCGATGATGATTCCATTCGAGTACATTCAGTGATTCCATTCAAGTTCATTTGATGATTCCTTTTGATTCCATCCGATGATGATTCCATTCGGGTCCATTCGAAGATTCCATTCGATTCCACTCGATGAAAATTCCATTCGAGTCCATTCAATGATTCCTTTCGATTCCATTCGATGATGATTCCCTTCGAGTCCATTCAATGATTGCCTTCGAGTCCATTCGATGATTCTATTTGATTCCATGCGATCATAATTCCATCGAGTCCATTTGATGATTCCATTTGATTCCAATTGATGATGACTGCCTTCGGTTCCATTCGATGATGATTCTGACGGACTCCATTTGATGACTCCTTTCGATTCCATTCATTGATGATTCCATTCAATTCCATTCGATGATGATTCCATTTTATTCCATTTAATGATGATTCCATTTGATTCCATTTGATGTTTCCATTTGATTCCATTCAATGATGATTCCATTCGAGTCCATTCGATGATGATTCCATTCTATGATGATTCCATTCGATTCCATTCGATGATGATTCATTTTGATTCCATTCAATGATGATTCCATTCGAGTCCATTTGATGTTTCCTTTCGATTCCACTCGACGTTGATTCCATTTGGGTCCATTCGATGATTCCATTCGAGTGCATTCCATGATTTCATTCGATTCCATCCTATGGTGATTCCATTCAATTCCATTCGATGATTCCATTCGAGTCCATTAAATGATTCCATTCGATTCCATTCAATGATGACTCCATTCGAGTTCTTTCAATGGTGATTCCATTCGATTACATTCAATGAGTCTGTTGTATTCCATTCTTTGCTTTACTTCGATTCTTTTTGATGATGATTCCATTTGATTTCATTTGATAATCCCATGCGATTCTATTCAATGATGACTCCATTCGATTCCATTTGATCAAAATTCCATTTTAATCCTTTCGACGATGATTCCATTCGATTCTATTTCATGCCGATTCTATTTGATTCCATTCTATGATGATTCCATTCGATTCCATTCAATGATTCCATTCGATTCCATTCAATGATGATTCCATTCAAGTCCATTCGATGATTCCATTCAAAACCATTCGATGATTCCATCTGATTCCATTCGATGATGATTCCATTCGAGATCATTCAATGATTCCATTCAAGTCCATTCGATGATGATTCCATTCGAGTCCATTCAATGATTCCATTTGATTTCATTCGATGATGATTCCATTCGAATCTCTTCGATGATTCCATTCTTTTCAATTCAATGATGATTTCATTTGAGTCCATTCAATGATGCAATTCGAGTCCATGGAATGATTCCATTGGGTTCAATTCGATGATGATTACATGGGATTCCATTCGATGATTCCATTCTATTCCATTCATTGATGATTCCATTCGATTCATGTCAATGATGATTGCATTCGATTCCATTCATTGATGATTCCATTCGATTCGCATTTGATGATGATTCGATTCGATTCCATTCGATGATGATTCCATTCGAT
>NC_000009.12:43333269-43370405 GCF_000001405.40 Homo sapiens
TCTATTCCATTCTATGATGATTCGACTCAATTCCATACGATGGTGATTCCATTTGATTCCATTCGATGATTCCATTCTATTCCATTACATGATGAATCCATTTGGGTACAATAGATTATTCCATTCGATGATGATTCTATTCCTGTCCATTAGATAATTCCATTCAATTCCACTCGATGATGATTCCATTCTATTCAATTCTCTGATGATTCCATTCGGATCCATTGGATGATTCCTTTGGATTCCATTCGATGATGATTCCATTCTATTCCATTCAATGATGATTCCATTGGGGTCCATTAGATGATTCCATTAGATTCCATTCATTGATGATTCCATTCTATTCCATTTGATGATGATTCCATTCGTGTAAATTAGATGATTCCATTCTATTCCATTTGATGATGATTCCATTCATGTAAATTAGATGATTCCATTCTATTCCATTTGATGATGATTCCATTGTGTAAATTAGATGATTCCATTCTATTCCATTTGATAATGATTCCATTCGGGTCCATTCAATGATTCCATTCTACTCCATTCAATGATGGTTCCATTCAAGTCCATTAGATGTTTCTATTCGAGTCCATTCAATGATTGCTTTCAATTCCATTCGCTATTGATTCCATTCGATTCCATTTGATGTTGATTCCATTCGATTTCATTCACTGATCCTATTTGATTCCATTTGATGATGATTCCATTGGGGTCCATTAGATGATTCCATTCGATTCCATTCCATGATGATTCCATTCGAGTTCATTCGATGATTCCATTCAATTCCATTCTCCAATGATTCCATTCTAATCCATTCAATGATGATTCCACTTGATTCCATATGATGGTGATTCCATTTGATTCCATTCTATATTCCATTCCATGATGAATCCATTTGGGTACAGTAGATGATTCCATTCGATGATGATTCTATTCCTGTCCATTAGATGATTCCATTCAATTCCATTCGATGATGATTCCATTCTATTCAATTCTCTGATGATTCCATTCGGATCCATTGGATGATTCCATTGGATTCCTTTCGGTGATGATTCCATTCTATTCCATTCAATGATGATTCCATTCGGGTCCATTAGATGATTCCATTAGATTCCATTCGTTGATGATTCCATTCTATTCCATTCGATGATGATTCCAATCGTGTAAATTAGATGATTCCATTCTATTCCATTCGATGATGATTCCATTCGGGTACATTCAATGATTCCATTCATTTCCATTTGATGATGATTCCATTAGATTTCATTTGATGATTCCATTGGATTCCATTCGTTGATGATTCCATTCGATTCCATTCGATGATGATTCCATTCGATTCCCTTCATTGATGATTCCATTGGATTCCATTCGATGATGATTTAATTCGACTCCATTTATGATGATTCCATTTGATTTCATTCAATGATTTCATTCGATTCCATTCGAAGATGATTCCATCTGGTTTAATTTGATGATTCCATTCGATTCCATTCAGTGATGATTCCATTCGGTTCCATTTGAGGATGATTTCATTTGATTCCATTGGATGATGATTCCATTCGACTCCCTTCAATGATTCCATTAGAGTCCATTCGATGATTCCATTTGAGTCCATTTGATGATTCCATTGGACTCCATTTGATGATAATTCCATTCAATGATTCCATTTGATTCTATTCAATGATGATTCCATTCTATTTTGTTCGATGCTGATTCCTTTCAATTCCATTCGATGATTCCATTTGATTTCATTTGAAGATTCCATTCAAATACATTCGACGATGATTCCATTCGATTCCATTCGATGATTACACTCGATTCCACTTGATGATGACTCCATTCAATTCCACTCAATGATTCCATTTGATTCTATTCGGTGATAATTCCATTCAATTCCATTCGATGATGATTGCGTTCAATTACATTCAAAGATTCCATTCAATTCCATTTGATGATGATTCCATTCGATTCCATTTGATGATTCCATTTGATTACATTCGAGAATTCCACTCAATTCCATTCGATGATCATTCCATTCCGTTCCATTCAATGATTCCATTCCAGTCCATTTGATGATTCCATTCGATTCCATTCGATGATGTTTCCATTCGATTCCATTCGATGATTCCATTCGATTCCATTCTATGATGTTTCCATTCGATTCCATTTGATGATTCCATTCGATTCCATTCAATTATTCCATTTGAGTCCATTCGATGATCCCATTCGATGCCGTTTGATGATAATTCCTTTTGAGTCCATTCGATGATGATTCCATTCAATTCCATTGAATTATTCCGTTTGATTCCATTTGATGATTCCCTTAGATTCCTTTCAATGATGATTTCATTTGATTCCATTTGATGATGATTCCATTCGGTTCCATTAGATGATGATTCCGTTATGTTCCATTCAATGATGATTCCATTCGATTCCATTCAATGATGATTCCTTTCAATTCCATTCAATGATGATTCCATTCGATTCCATTCGATGATTCCACTCGATTCCATTCGATGGTGATTCCATTCGTGTCCATTCGATGACTCCATTCGATTTCATTCGATGATGATTCCATTCGAGTTCTTTGAATGATTCCATTCAAGTCCATTTGATGATTCCTTTCAATTCCATTCAATGATGATTCCATTCGAGTCCATTCGACGATGAATCCATGTGATTCCATTCGATTATGACTCCTTTCATTTCCATTCAATGATGATTCCATTCGGTTCCATTCGATGATTATTCCTTTGAATTCCATTCGATGATGATTCCATTCGACTCCATTTGATGTTGATTCTTTTTGATTCCATTTGATGATGATTCCATTTGATTACATTTGATGATGATTCAATTCTATTCTATACGATGATGATTCCATTCTAGTCCATTTGATGATTCCATTCGAGTCCATTCAGTGATTCCATTCGATGATTCCATTTGATTCCTTTCGATTATTATTCCATTTGAGTCCATTCGGTGACTCCTTTTGATCCCAAATGAAGATGATTCCATTCAATTGCATTCGATGATACCATTCGATACCATTCGTTGATGATTCCATTCGAGTGCATTCGATGTTACCATTTGATTTCATTCGATTCCATTCGATGATTCCATTCAATTCCATTCTATGATGATTCCATTCGCGTCCATTTCATGGTTCCATTGGACTCCATTTGATGATGATTCCATTCCAATATTCCATTCGATTGTATTTGATGATGATTTCATTCGATTTCATTCGATGCTGATTCCATTCAATTCCATTTGATGATTCCATTTGATTACATTTGATGATGATTCTGATCAATTCCATTCGATGAATCCATTTGATTCCATTTGATGATTCCATTTGATTCCATTTGATAATGATTCCATACGAGTCCATTCAATGTTTCCATTCGAGCCCATTTGATAATTCCATTTGAGTCCAATCGATTATTCCATTTGAGTCCATTCAATCATTCCATTTGAGTCCATTTGATTATGAATCCATTCGGGTACATTCGATGATTCCATTCGAGCCCATTTGATAATTCCATTTGAGTCCAATCGATTATTCCATTTGAGTCCATTCAATCATTCCATTTGAGTCCATTTGATTATGAATCCATTCGGGTACATTCGATGATTCCATTCGAGTCCATTTGATAATTCCATTTGAGTCCATTCGATGATTGCTTTTGATTCCATTTGATTATATTCCATTCGAGTCAATTTGTTGATGCCATTCATTTCTATTTGATGATGATTCCATTCGAGTCCATTCAGTGATTCCATTCCATTCTATTTGATGATGATTCCATTCGATTCCATTCGATGATGATTATATTCATGCCCATTACATGATTTCACACGATTCCATTTGATGATGATTCCATTCGATTCCATTCGATGATGATTCCATTCAATTCCATTCATTGGTGATTCCATTCAATTCCATTCATTGATTCCATTCCATTCCATTCGACAATGATTCCATTCAATTCCATTCGATAATCCACTCAATTCCACTTGATGATGATTCTATTCGATTCCATTCGATGATTCCATTTGATTCCATTCGATGATGATTGCCTTCGATTCCATTTAATGATTCCATTCGATTCCATTCAATGATGATTCTGTTTGATTCCATTTCATAATTCCATTTGATTCTATTTGAGGATTCCATTCGATACCATTCCAAGATGATTCCATTCGAATCCATTTGATGTTTTCATTAGAGTCAATTCAATGATTCCATTCGAGTCCATTTGATGATTCCATTAGATTCCATTTGATGTTGATTCCATTAGCGTCCATTTGATGATTCCATTCGAGACCATTCGATAATTCCATTCACGTCCATTTGATGATTCCATTCGATTCCATTCGATGATTCCATCCCATTCCATTTGATGATGATTCCATTCGAGTTCATTCAATCATTCCATTTGATTCCATTCGATGATTCCATTTGAGTCCATTTGATTATTCCATTCAAGTCCATTCAATTATTCCATTCGAGTCCATTCGATGATTCCATTCAATTCCATTCGATGATAATTGCATTCGAGTCCATTCAGTGATGATTCCATTCGATTCCATTCAATGATTCCGTTTGATTCCATTCTATGATTCCTTTCGATTCCTTTCGGTGATGATTCCATTCGATTCCATTCGATGATGACTGCATTCATGTCCTTTAGATGATTCCATTTGACTCCATTTGATGATGATTCCATTATATTCCATTCGATGATGATTCCATTGGAGTCCATTCGATGATTCCATTTGATTCAATTCGATGATGAATCCATTCGTGTCCATTCGATGATTCCATTCTACTCCATTCGATGATGATTCAATTCAACTCCATTCACTGATTATATTTGAGTCCATTCAATATTTATTTTCGATTCCATTCGATGATGATTCCATTCAATTCCATTCAATGATGATTCCATTCGATACTGTTCTATGATTCCATTCAATTCCATTCAATGTTGATTCCATTCGATTCCATTCGATGGTTCTATTCGATTCCATTCGATGATGATTCAATTCGATTCCATTTGATAATTCCATTTGATTATATTTTATGATTATATTCGATCCCATTCAATGATTCCATTCACGTCCATTTGGTGATTCCTTTTGATTCTATTCAATGATGATTCCATTCGAGTCCATTCAATGGTGATTCCATTCGATTCCATTCAATGAGTCTATACTATTCCATTCGAAGATGATTGCATTCAATTCCTTTCGATGATTCCATTTGAATCCATTCAAAGATGATACCATTTGATTCCATCTGATAATTCCATTCGATGATTCAATTCTATTCCATTAGATGATGATTACATTTGATCCCATTCGATGATTCTATTCAATTCCATTTGATGATGATTACATTCGAGTCCATTCGATGATCCCATTCAATTCCATTCGATGATGATTCCATTCGAGTGCATTCAATGATTCCTATCAATTCCACTCAATGATGATTCCATTCAAGTCCATCCAATTACTCTATTCAATTCCATTCTATAATGATTCTGTTCAAGTCCATTTTATGATTCCATTCGAGTCCTTTTGATGATTCCATTCGATTCCTTTTGATGATTCCATTCGAGTCCAATTGATGATTCCATTCAATTCCATTTGATGATGATTCTGTACGATTCCATTCCATGAGGATTCCATGTGATTCCATTCGATGATGATTCATTTCGATTCCATTTGATGATGATTCATTTTGATTCCATTCGATTATGATTCATTTCGAGTTCATTCAATGATTCCACACGTTTCCATTCGATGATGATTCCATTTGAGTCCATTCGATGATTCCATTTGAAACCATTCAATGAGGATTCCATTTGATTCCCTTCATTGGTGATTCCATTCAATTCCATTCAATGATTCCATTTCATTCCATTCGACAATGATTCCATTAGATTCCATTCAATGATTCCACTTGATTCCATTTACGATGATTCCATTTGATTCCATTTGATGATTCCATTCAATTCTACCCGATGATGTTTCCATTTGATTCTGTTTGACAATGGTTGCCTTTGATTCCATTCAATGATTCCATTCGGTTCCATTCGATGATGATTCTGTTCGATTCCATTTGATGATTCCATTTGATTCCATTGGATGATTCCATTCGATTCCATTCGATGATTATTCCATTTGAGTGCATTCGGTGATTCCATTCGAGTCCATTCAATGATTGCATTCGTGTACCTTTGATGATTCCATTCGATGATGATTCCATTAGAGTCCATTCGATGATTCCATTCAAGTGCATTTGATAATTGCATTCGAGTCCATTCAATGATTTCATTTGATTCCTTTTGATGATTCCATTCAAGTCCGTTTGATCATTATAGTCGAGTCCATTCGATGATTCCATTTGAAGATGACCACATTCGATTCCATACAACGATGATTCCATTTGAGTCCATACGATGATTTCATTTGATTCAATTTGATGATGATTCCATTCGAGTCCATTCAATTATTCCATTCTATTCCATTTGATGATGATTCCTTTCAACTCCATTCAATGATTCTATTCAAGTCCATTCAGTAATTGCTTTGGATTCCATTCGATGACGATTACATTTGATTCCATTTGATGATGATTTGATTTGATACCTTTCTATGGTTCCATTCAATTCCATTCAATGTTGATTCAATTCGATTCCGTTTGATTATTCTATTCTTTTGCATTCCAGGATGATTATATTCAATTACATTCAATGATTCTGGTTGAGTATATTTGATGATGATTCCATTTGATTCCATTCGATGATTCCATTTGATTCCATTCGATAGTGATTCCATTCGACTCCATTCAATGATTCCATTCATTTCCATTCGATGATGATTCCATTCGAGTCCATTCAATGGTGATTCCATTCGATTCCATTCGATGATTCCATTTCATTCCATTGGATGATGATTGCATTTGATTCTATTCGATGATTCCCTTTGATTCCATTCAAAGTAGATTCCATTCGAGTCCATTCAATCATTCCATTCGCTTCCATTCTCTGATGATTCCATTCGAGTCCATTCGATGATTCCATTCAATTCCAGTTGATGATGATTCCATTCGATTCCATTCCATGATTCCATTGGATTCCATTTGATGATGATTCCATTCCATTCTGTTCGATGATTCCATTCAATTCCATTAGATGATGATTCCATTCGAGTCCGTTTGATGAATCCATTCGATTCCATTCAATGATAATTCCATTCGAGTCCATTCGATGATTCCATTTGATTCCATTCAATGATGATTCCATTCACGTCCATTTGATAATTACGTCCAATTCCATTCGATGATGATTCCATTCACGTCAATTTGATAATTCCATCTGATTCCATTCGATGATGACTGCATTCAGTGCCATTCGATGATGATTCCAAAGGATTCCATTCGTTGACTCCATTCAATTCCATTCGATGATGATTCCATTCGTTTCCATGCGATGATGATTTCATTTGATTCCATTCCATGATGATTCCATTCGATTCCATTCAATGATGATTCCATTTGATTCCATTCGACGATGATTCCATTTGATGATTCCATTTGATTCCGTTCAATGAATATTCCATTAGTGTCCATTCAATGATTCCATTCAAGTCCATTCAATGATTCCTTTCAATTCAACTTGATGATGATTCCATTCGAGTCCATTCGATGATTCAATTCGAGTGCATTCCATTATTCCATTCTATTCCATTCAATGATGATTCCATTCGAGTCCATTTGATGATTCCATTCGAGTCAATTTGATGATACCATTTGGTTCCATTTGATGATGATTCCATTGGATTCCATTCGTTGTTGATTCCATTCCATTCCATTCGATGATGATTCCATTCAATTGCATTCAATGATGATTCCATTCGATTTCATTCAATGATTCTATTCGATTCCATTCAATGATGATTCAATTCTATTGCATTCGAAGATTCCATTCGATTCCATTCGATGATGATTCCATTCGATTCCATTCGATGATGATTCCATTCAATTGCATTCAATGATGATTCAATTCGAGTCCATTCGAATATTCTGTACGATTACATTCCATGATGATTCCATTAGAATCCATTTGATGATTCCATTCTACTCAATTTGATGATTCCGTTCGATGCTATTCGATGATTCTATTTCTATTCCATTCGAAGATGATTCCATTCAACTCCATTCGATGATTCCATTCGATTCCTTTCAATGATGATTCCATTCGATGATATTTGATGATTCCTTTCGATTCCATTCAATGATGATTGCATTTGTGTCCATTCGATAATTCCATTTGATTCCATTCGATGAAGATTCCATTCGAGTCCATTTGATGATTCCATTCGATGATGATTCCATTCGAATCCATTAGATGATTCCACTGGATTCCATTCGATGACTCTGTTCGATCCCATTTGATGATTCCCTTTGATTCCGTTCGATGATCTTTCCATTTGATTCAATTCGGTGATTCCATTCGATTGTATTCAGTGATGATTCCATTTTACTCCATTCGATGATGATTCCATTCGATTCCATTCAATTATGATTTCATTCAATTCCATTCGATGATGATTCCATTCGAGTCCATTCAATGATTCCATTTGATTCCATTTGATGATGATTCCACTCAAGTCCATTCGATGATTCCTTTCGAGTCCATTCAATGATTCCATTAGATTCCATTAAATGATGATTCCATTTGATGCTATTCGGTAATTCCATTGGATTCCATTCAACAATGATTCCATTCGTGTCCATTCGATGATTCCATTTGATTCCATTTGATGATGATTCCATTCGAGCCCATTGGGTGATTCCATTCAATTCCATTCGATGATGATTCCCTCCTAATAGATTTGATGATTCCATTTGATTCCATTCTATGATGACTGCATTCGGTTCCATCTGATGATGATTCCAACGGATTTCATTCGATTTCTCCATTTGATTCCATTCGTTGATGATTCCATTCCTTTCCATTTGATGATGATTCCATTATATTCCATTCGATGATGATTCAATTCGATTCCATTCAATGACGATTCCATTCAATTCCATTCAATGATGATTCCATTGGATTCCATTTGATGATTCCATTCGATTCCATTTGATGATGATTCCATTCGAGTACATTCAATGATTCCATTCAAGTCCATTCGAAGATTACTTTCAATTCCATTTGATGATTCCATTCGAGTCCATTCGATGATTCCATTCAAGTCCATTTGACGTTTCCTTTTGATTCCACTCGACATTGATTCCATTTGAGTCCATTCGATGATTCCATTCGAGTGCATTCCATGATTTCATTTGACTCCATTCGATGATGATTCCATTCGAGTCCATTCGATGATTCCATTTGATTTCATTCGGTGATGATTCCATTCGATTCCATTCGATGATTCCATTCAAGTCCATTCAATGATTACATTCGAGTCCATTAAATGATTCCATTCATTTCCATTCGATGATGACTCCATTCGAGCCCACTCAATGATGATTCTATTTGATTCCATTCGATGATACCGTTGGATTCCATTCTTTGTTTTATTTCGATTCTATTTGGTGATGATTCCATTCGATTTCATTTGATGACCCCATTCGATTCTATTTGATGATGATTCCATTCAATTCCATTTGATGAAAATTCCATTCGATTCCATTCATTGATGATTCCATTCGATTTTTTTGATGCCGATTCTATTCAATTCCATTCGATGATGATTCCTTTCGAGACCATTCGATGATTCCATTCACTTCATTCAATGATGATTCCATTCAATTCCTTTAGATGATTCCATTAGAATCCACTTGATGATGATTCCATTTGATTCCATTCGATGATGATTCCATGCGATTCCATTGGATTATGACTCCTTTTGTTTCCATTCGATGATTATTCCTTTCGAGTCCATTTGTTGTTGATTCTTTCGATTGTGTTCGATGATGATTCCATTTGATTCCATTCGATGATGATTCCATTCAATTCCATTAGATAATTCCATTTGGTTCCATTCGATGATGATTCCATTCGATTCCATTAGATTATTCCATTCGATTCCATATGATGATGATTCCATTTGAGTCCACTCGATGATTCCATTCGATTACATTCGATGATGATTCCATTCAATTTGATTCGATGATTCCATTCGATTTCTTTTGATGATTATTCCATTCGAATCCATTCGGTGATTCCTTTCCATTCCAGTTGAAGATGATTCCATTCCATTCCATTCAATGATACATTCCACACCATTCATTGATGATTCCATTTGAGTGCATTCGATTATACCATTCGATTCCATTTGATGATGATTCCTTTTGATTCCATTTGATGATTCCATTCAATTCCATTCTATGATGATTCCATTCGCGTCCATTTGATGATTCCATTGGAATCCATTTGATGATGATTCCATTCAATGATTCCATTTGATTATATTCAATGTTGATTCCATTTGATTTCATTCGATGCTGATTCCATTCAATTCCATTCGATGATTCCATGTGATTCCATTCGATGATTCCTTTCGATTACACTCGACGATGATTCCATTTGATTCCATTTGATGATTCAATTTGATTCTATTTGATGATTCCATTCGATTCCATTTGATGATGACAGCATTCGACTCCATTTGATTATTCCATTTGATTCCATTCAATGATTGTTCCTTTCGTGTTCATTGATTATTCCATTCCATTCCATTCGATGATTCCATTCAAGTCCATTCGATGATTCTATTCGATTCAATTCAATAATTCCTTTCGATTCCATTTGATGATGATTCCATTCGGGTGCATTCAATGATTATTCCATTCGATTCTATTTGGTGAATACTTTTGATTCCATTTGGTAATAATTCCATTCAAGACCATTCGATGGTTCCATTCAATTCATTCGATGAGGATTCCATTCAATTCCATTCGATGATTCCATTACATTCCATTTGATGATGATTCCATTTGATTTCATTCGATGATGATTGCATGCAATTCCATTCGATAATGGCCCCTTTCGTTTCCATTCGATGACAATTCCATTCGGTTCCCTTTAATGATGATTCCTTTGGATTCCATTAGATAATGATGGAATCCATTCTACTCCATTTGATGTTAATTCATTTTGATTCCATTCGATGATGATTCCATTTGATTCCATTCGATGATGATTCCATTTGATTCCATTCGATGATGATTCCATTTGATTACATTTGATGATGATTCCATTCAATTCCATTTGATGATTCCATTCGATTCCATATGATGATGATTCCATTCTAGTCCATTCGATGATTCCATTCTAGTCCATTCAGTGATGATTCCATTAGATTCCATTTGAAGATTCCATTTGATTCCTTTCGATGACTATTCCATTCGAGTCCATTCGGTGATTCCTTTCAATGCCAATTGAAGATTATTCCATTTGATTTCATTTGATGGTATCATTCGATACCATTCATTGATGATTCCATTACAGTGCATTCGATGATACCATTCGGTTCCGTTTGATGATGATTCCATTCGATTCCATTCGATGATTCCATTCAATTCCATTCGATGATGATTCCATTCAAGTCCATTCGATGATTCCATTTGATTTCATTCAATGATGATTCCATTTGATTCCATTCAATGATTCCATTTGAGTCCATTTAATGATTCCATTGGGTTCAATTTGATGATGATTACATTGGATTCCATTCTATGATTCCATTCAATTCCATTCATTGACGATTCGATTCCATTCAATGATGATTCCATTTGATTTCATTTGATGATTCTATTCGATTCCATTCGATGGTGATTCAATTCTATTATATTTGATTATTCCATTCGATTCCATTCGATGATGATTCCGTTCGATTCCATTCAATGATGATTCCATTCAATTCCATTCGATGATGATTCCATTCGATTCCATTTGATGTTAATTCCATTCAATTCTATTCAATGATGATTCCCTTCGATTTCGTTCTATGATTCTATTCGATTCCATTCGATGATGATTCAAATCTCTTCCATTGGATGATTCCATTTTATTCCATTTGATGATGACTCCATTCGACTCCATTCAATGATGATTCCATTCAATTCCATTCGATGATTCCATTCGATTCCATTCAATGGTGAGCAATTCAATTCAATTCCATGATGATTCTATTTGATTCAATTAGATGATGTTTCCATTCGATTCCATTCGATCATGATTCCATTGGAATCCATTCGATGATGATTCCATTCAAGTCCATTCGATGATGATTCCATACGAGTCCGTTCGATGATGATTCCATTCGATTTCATTCGATGCTTCTATTCCCTTCCATTCGATGATGATTCTGTCTGATTCAATTCTATGATTCCATTCGATTCCATTCGATGATGATTCAATTCTATTTCATTCGATGATTCCATTCGATTCCATTAGATGATGATTCCATTGGATTCCATTCTATGATGACTCCATTTGATTGCATTTGATGATTATTCCATTCGTGTCCATTCAATGATTCCATTCGATTCCATTCGATGATGATTCCATTCGAGTCCATTTGATCATTCTATTTGATTCCATTCTCCGATGATTCCATTCGAGTCCATTCGATGATTCCACTCGATTCCATACAATGATGATTCCATTCATCTTCATTTATTATTCAATTCCATTCCATTCGATAATTGCATTCGAGTCCGTTCGATGATTCTATTTGATTCCATTCGATAATTCCATTCGATTCCATTCGATGATGATTGCATTCAATTCCATTCTATGATTCCCTTTGATTCCATTCAAAGTTGATACCATTCGAGTCCATTTGATAATTCCATTCGACTCCATTCTCCAATGATTCCACTCGAGTCCATTCAATTGTTCCATTCAATTCCAGTCGATGATGAATCCATTCAATTCCATTCGATGATTCCATTGGATTCCATTTGATGATGATTCCACTGGAGTCCATTCGATGCTGATTCCATTCGAGTCCATTCGATGATGATTCCATTCATGTCCATTCGATGATGATTCCATTTGAGTCCATTCAATGATTCCATTCAATTCCATTCTATGATAATTCCATCCGAGTCCCTTCGATGATTCCATTCGATTCCATTCAATGATGATTCTATTCGAGTCCATTCAATGATTCAATCTGATTCTATTCGATGATTCCATTCGATAATTCCATTTGATTCCATTTGATGATGATTGCATTCTATTCCATTCTATGATTCCCTTTGATTCCATTCAACATTGATACCATTCGAGTCCATTTGATAATTCCATTTGACTCCATTCTCCAATGATTCCACTCGAGTCCATTCAATTGTTCCATTCAATTCCAGTCGATGATGATTCCATTCAATTCTATTTGATGATACCATCAGATTCCATTTGATGATGATTCCATTCGTGTCCATTCGATGATGATTCCATTCGAGTCAATTCGATGATTCCATTCGAGTCAATTCTATGATTCCATTCAAGTCCATTCAATGATTCCATTCGATTCCATTCGATGATGATTCCATTCGAGTCCATTCAATGATTCCATTCAATTCCATTCTATGATAATTCCATTCGAGTCCCTTTGATGATTCCATTCAATTCCATTTGATGATGATTCTATTCGAGTCCATTTGAGGATTGCATTCTAGTCCGTTTGATGATTCCATTCGATTCCATTCAATGATGACTGCATTCGGTTCCATTCGATGATGAATACAACCGATTCCATTCGATGACTCCATTCAATTCCATTCATTGATTATTCCATTCGATTCCATTGGGTGATGATACCATTAGATTCCATTCGATGATGATTCCATTTGATTCCATTCGATTCCATTCGATGATGATTCCATTTGATTCCATTTGATGATGATTCCATTCGATTCCATCCGATGATGATTGCGTTCAATTCCATTCGATAATGATTCCATTCGATTCCTTTCAATGATGATTGCATTAG
Organism: Homo sapiens; assembly: GCF_000001405.40. Classification (NCBI taxonomy): domain Eukaryota; kingdom Metazoa; phylum Chordata; class Mammalia; order Primates; family Hominidae; genus Homo; species Homo sapiens. The sequence continues at coordinate 43,347,295 of NC_000009.12, forward strand.
ATTCCATTCAATGATTCCATTTGATTCCATTCGTTGCTGATTCCATTCGGGTCCATTCGATGATTCAATTCAATTCCATTCGATAATGATTCCATTCGAGTCCATTAGATGTTTCCATTCAAGTCCATTCGATGATTCCTTTGGATTCCACTCGATGATGATTCCATTCTATCCCATTCGATGATTCCGTTTGAGTCCATCTGATGATTCCATTCGGTTCCCTTGGATGATGATTGCATTGGATTCCATTCGTTGATGATTCCATTCGATTCCATTCAGTGATGATTCCATTCAATGTCATTCAGTGATGATTCCATTCAATTCCATTCGATGATGATTCCATTCGATTTCATTCGATATTTCTATTTGATTCCATTCGATGATGATTCCATTTGATTTCATTCGATGTTTCTATTCGATTCCATTCGATGATGATTTAATTCTATTTTATTTGATGATTCCTTTTGATTCCATTCGATGATGATTCCATTCAATTACATTCGATGATGATTCCATTCGATTGCATTCGATGGTGATTCCTTTCTAGTCCATTCGAATATTCCATTCTATTCCATTCGATGATGATTCCATTGGAGTCCATTCGATGATTCCATTCGATTCCATTCGATGATGATTCCATTCGACTCCATTCGATGATTCCATTAGATTCCATTCGATGATGATTCCATTGGAGTCCATTCAATGATTATATTTGATTCCATTCGATGATGATTCCGCTCAAGTCCATTCGATGATTCCATTCGAGCCCTTTTGATTAATCCATTAGATTCCATTTGATGATGATTCCATTCGATGCCATTCAATGATTCCATTCGCTTCCATTCAATGATGATTCTATTCAAATCCACTCGATGATTCCACTCGATTCCATTCAATGACTCCATTCAATCCCATTAGATGATTCCCTTTGATTCCATTCGATGATCATTCCATTTGAATCAATTCGGTGATACCATTCTATTCCATTTGATGATGAATCTATTCAATTCCATTCGATGATGATTCCATTCATTCCATTCGATGATGATTCCATTCGATTCCATTCGATGATGATTCCATTAGAGTCCATTCAATGATTCCATTCAATTCCATTTGAAGATGATTCCATTTCGTGTCCTTTCAATGATTCCATTTGACTCCATTCGGTGATGATTCCATTCCATGCCATTCAATGATTCCATCCGATTTCATTCGATGAAGATTGCATTCGCTTCCATTCATTGATGATTCCATTTGATTCCATTTGATGATGATTCCATTCATATCCATTCGATGATGGTTCCATTCGAGTCCAATTGATCATTCCATTTGAGTCTGTTCGATGATTCCATTCGATTCCATCCCATTATGATTCGAGTCCATGCAATGATTCCTTTCAATTCTATTTGATGATTCAAATTGATTCCATTCGATGATTCACTTCAATTACTTTTGATGATGATTCCATTCGATTCCATTCACTGATTCCTTTCAATTCCATTCAATGATGATTCCATTCGATTCCTTTCGATGATGATTCCTTTTGATTCCATAAGATTTTCATTCCATTCGATTCCATTGATGATGATTTCTTTTGAATCCATTCGATGATTCCATTCATGTCCATTCGATGATTCCTTTCGAGTCCATTCCACAATTATTCCATTTGATTACATTCGATGATGATTAAATTTGACTCCATTCGATGATTCCATGCCCTTCCATTCGATGAGGATTCCATTAGTGTCCATTCGATTATTACATTCAATTCCATTCAATGAAGAGTCCATTCCATTACATTAGATGCTTCCAATCAATTCAATTCGATGATGATTCCATTTGATTCCATTCATTGGTTCCATTCCATTCCATTGGATAATGATTCCATTCGTGTCCATTCAATGATTCTGTTTGAATCCATTTGATGTTTGCTTTTGATTCCATTCTATGATGATTCCATTTGATTCCATTTGATGATGATTCCATTCCATAACAGTCTATGATTCCATTCTATTCCATTCAATGAGGATTCCATTTGATTCCATTCAATGATTCTATGTGATTCCATTCGAGGATGATTCCGTTGGATTCCATTCGATGATTCAATTCGCTTCCATTCAATGTTGTTTCCATTCGATTCCATTTGATGATTCCATTCGATTCCATTTGATGATGATTCCATTAGTGTCCATTGGACGATTCCATACAAATCCATTCAATCATACCGTTCAATTCCATTTGATGATTCCCATCGATTCCCTCCGATGGTCATTCCATTCTATTCCATTCGATGATTCCATTTGATTGCATTCGATGCTGATTGCATTCTCAACCATTCGATGATGATTCCATTAGATTCCATTCGATGCTGATTCCATTTGATTCCATTCGATGCTGACTCCATTAGGTTCGATATGATGATGATTCCATTAGATTCCATTTGATGATTCCATTCCATTCATTGATGATTCTCTTTGATTCCATTCGATGATGATTCCATTTGGTTCCATTTGATGATGATTCCACTCAGTTCCATACGATGAAGATTCCATTAGATTCCATTTGATGATTCCATTCGATTCCATTCATTGATGATTCCATTCGATGATGATTCCATTCGATTCCATTCGATGATGATTCCATTCAATATCATTAGATGATGATTCCATTCGATTCCATTCGATGATGATTCCATTCGATTTCATTTGATGTTTCTATTCAATTCCATTCGATGATGATTCAATTCTATTTTATTTGATGATTCCTTTCGATTCCATTCAATGATGATTCCATTTGATTCCATTCGATGATGATTCCATTCGATTGCATTTGATGGTGATTCCTTTCTTGTCCATTCGAATATTCCATTCTATTCCATTCAATGACGATTCCATTTGGGTCCATTCAATGATTCCATTTGGTTCCATTCAATGATGATTCCATTCGACTCCATTCGATGATTCCATTTGATTCCACTCCATGATGATTCCATTCGACTTCATTCAATGATTCATTTCTATTCCATTCGATGATGATTCCATTGGAGTCCATTCAATGATTCTATTCGATTCCATTCGATGGCGATTCCTCTCGAGTCCATTCGATGATTCCATTCAAGTCCATTCCATTAATCCATTAGATTCCATTTGATGCTGGTTCCATTCGATGCCATTCAATGATTCCATTCGCTTCCATTCAATGATGATTCCATTCGAGTCCATTCGATGATTCCATTCGATTCCATTCAATGATGATTCCATTCGAATCCACTCAATGATTCCACTCGATTCCATTAGATGACTCCGTTCAATCCCATTAGATGATTCCCTTCGATTCCATTCGATGATCATTCCGTTTGAATCAATTTGGTGATACCATTCTATTCCAATCGATGATGAATCCATTCGATTCCATTTGATTATGACTCCATTTGATTCCATTCGAGGATGATTTCATTCACGTCCATACAATGATTCCATTTGATGGTGATTCCACTTAAGTCCATTCGATGATTCCATTATTGTTCATTCTATAATTCCATTAGATTCCATTTGGTGATGATTAGATTTGATGCCATTTGATGATTCCATTCAATTCCATTCAGGGATGATTCCACTTGTGCCCATTCGATGATTCCATTTGATTCCACTTGAGGATGATTCCATTCATGTCCATTCCATGATTCCATTCAATTCCATTCGATGATGATTCCATACGAATCTGTTTGATGATTCCATTCAATTCCCTTCGATGATTCCGTTCGTTCCCTTTCTATAATTCCATTCGATTCCATTCGATGATGACTCCATTTTGTTCTATTTGATAATGATTCCATTCGGTTCCATATGATGATGATTCCATTCAATTCCATTCGATGATTCCATTTGATTCCATTCGATGATGATTCCATTCATTCCATTCGATGATGATTCCATTCGATTCCATTCGATGATGATTCCTTTCGAGTCCATTCAATGATTCCATTCAATTCCAATTGATTCCATTCGATGATGATTCCATTCATATCCATTCAATGATGATTCCATTCTAGTCCAATCAATCATTCCATTTGAGACTATTTGATGATTCCATTCGATTCCATCCCATTATGATTCAATTCGAGTCCATTCAATGATGATTCCATTCAATTCTATTTGATGATTCAAATCAATTCCATTCGATGCTTCACTTCAATTACTTTTGATGATGATTCCCTTTGATTCCATTCACGGATTCCGTTCAATTCCTTTCGATGATGATTCCATTAGGTTTCATTTGATGATGATTGCATTTGGTTCCATTGGATGATGATTCCATTAGTTTCCATTCGATGGTTCCGTTCGATTCCATTCGTGGATGATTTCATTTGATTCCATTCAATGATGATTTCATTTGATTCCATTTGACGATGATTTCATTCGATGATGATTCCATTCGATTCCATTCGAAGATAATTCCATTCGATTTCTTTTGATGATTCTATTCCCTTCTATTTTATGATTATTCCATTCGATTCCATTGATGATGACTGTCTTAGAGTCCATAAAATGATTCCATTCGAATCCATTCGATGATGATAACATTCGATTCCATTCGATGATGATTCCCTTCATTTCCAATCGATGATTCCATTGGATTCCATTGGATGATGATTCATTCTGATTCCATTGGATGATGATTCCATTCGATTGCATTTGATGATGATTCCATTCATTTCCATTCAATGATGTTTCCATTCAATTACATTCGATGATGATTCCACTTGATGATGATTCCACCAGAGTCCATTTGATGATGATTCCATTCGATTCCAGTCGATGATGATTCCATTTGAGTCCATTCAATGATTCCATTCGATTCCATTCAATGATGATTCCATTCGAATCCATTCGATGATTCCATTCGATTCTATTCAATGTCAATTCCATTCGAGTCCATTCGATGTTTCCATTCGATTCCATTCAATGATGATTCCACTCAACAATTTTCAATGTTTCCATTGGATTCTATTTAATGATGAATCAGTTCGAGCCCATTTGATGATTCCATTCAATTCTTTCAATGATGATTTAATTCAATTCCATTCAATTGTGATTCCATTCAATTCCATTCAATGATTCCATTCGATTCCATTCGAAGATGAGTCCGTTCACTTCCATTCGTTGATTCCATTCAATTCTATTCAATGATTCCATTCGATTTCAGTCGTTGATGTTTCCATTCGATTCCATTGGATGATTATTCCATTCGATTCCATTCAATGATGATTCCATTCGTTCCATTTGATGATGATTCTATTCGATTCCATTCGAGGATGATTCCATTAGAGTCCATTCGATGAATCCATTTGATTCCATTCAATGATTCCATTCGATTCCATTCCTAGATGATTCCATTCAAGTCCATTCAATGATTCCATTGCATTCCATTTGATGCTGATTCTGTTCGAGTCCACTCAATGATTATTCCATTTGATTCCATTCGATGATGATTCTATTTGATTCCATTCGAGGATGATTCCATTAAAGTGTATTCGATGATTCCATTCGAGTCCATTCGATGATTCCATTCGATTGCATTCGATGATGATTCAATTCATGTCCATTCGATGTTACCATTCGATTCCATTCGATGATGACTCCTTTTGATTACTCTCATTAATGATTCCATTTGGTTCCATTTGATGATGATTCCATTCGAGTCCATTCGATGATTCCACTGAATTCCATTAGATGATTATTCCATTCGATTCCATTCAGTGGTGATTCCATTCAATTCCTTTCCATGATTCCATTCGATTCCATTCAATGATGATTTCATTCAATTCCATACCATGATTCCATTCGATTCCTTTCAATGATGATTCCCTTTGATTGCATTTGATGATGACTCCATTTGATTTCATTCAATGATGATTCCATTCAATTCCATTCGATGATGATTCCATTAGAGTCCATTCGATGATGATTCCATTAGAGTCCATTTGATGATGATTCCATTCGAGTCCATTCAATGATTCCATTCAATTCCCTTTGATGATTCCATTTCATCCCATTCGATGATTCCATTCCATCCCATTCGATGATTCCTTTCGATTCCATCTGATGATCATTCCATTCGATTGAATTTGGTGATACAATTCGATTCCATTCAATGATGATTCCATTCGATTCCATTCGATCATGAGTCCATTTGATTCCATTTGATGATTACTCCTTTCGGTTACATTTGATGGTGATTCCATTTGGTTCCATTCGATGATGATTCCATTAGATTCCACTCTATGATTCCATTTCATTCCATTCAATGATGATTCCATTTGAGTCATTCGATGATTCCATTACATTCCATTTGATAATGAGTCTATTCGATTAAATTTGATGATGATTCCATTTGATTCCATTTGATGATTATTCCATTTGATTTCATTTGATGATTCTATTTTTTTCCATTTGAAGGTGATTCTGTTCTATTCCATTTGCTAATTCCATTTGCTTTCATTTGATGATGAGTCTATTTGATTCCATTTGATGATGATTCCATTCGATTCCACTTGATAATGATTCCATTCGTGTCCATTCGATGACTATTCCATTCGATTCCATGCGATGATGATTCCATTTGAGCTCATTCAATAATTCAATGCGATTTCATTCGATGACAATTACATTTGATTCTATTTGATGATTGCATTCTATTCCATTTGATGATGATTCCATTTGAGTCCATTCAATGATTCCATTCAATTCTATTCTATGATGATTCCATTCGTGTCATTTGATGATTCCATTAGATTTCATTCAATGATAATTCCATTCGATTCCATTAGATGATTACATTTGATTCCATTCAATGACGATTCCATTTGAGTCCATTGGATGATTCCATTTTATTTCATTCGATGATGATTCCATTTGAGACCATTCGATGATTCCATTTGAATCCATTTGATGACTGTTTCCAATTATATTCGATGATGATTCCATTCGAGTCCATTCGATGATTCCATTCGATTAAATTCAATGACGATTCCTTTCAGGTCGATTAGGGGATTCCATTTGATTCCATTCGATGATGACTCCATTCGAGTCCATTCATTGATTCCATTCGATTCCATCCATTCGATGATGATTCTATTCGAGTCCACTCGTTGATTCCATTTGATTCCATTCAATGATGTTTCCATTCGAGCCCATTCAATGATTACATTTGATTCCATTGGATGATGAATCCACTCGAGTCCATTCAATGATTCCATTCTAGTCCATTTGATGATTCCCTTAGATTCCATTCAGTGATGATTCCACTCGATGCCATTCAATGATTAGATTCAATTCCATTTGATGTTGTTTCCAATCGAGTCCATTTGATGATTCCATTCGATTCCATTCAATGATGATTCCATTCGTGCCTACTCAATGATTCCAATCGATTCCATTCGAATATGATTCCATTCGACTCCATTCGATGATGATTCCATTCGATTTCATTCGGTGATTCTATTCATTTCCATTTGATGATGATTCCATTCTCTTCCAGTCTATGATTCCATTTGATGCCATTCAATGTTACATTCGATTACATTCAATGATGACTCCATTCTATTCCATTTGATGATTCCATTCGATTCCATTCGATGATGATTCCATTCGATTCCATTCAATGATGATTCCATTCGTGTCCATTGGATGATTACATTTCATTGCTTTCAAAGATGATTCTGTTCGCGTCCATTAGATGATTCCATTCGATTCCATTCATTGATGATTCCATTAGATTCCATTCGATGATTCCATTCGATTCCATTTGATGATGATTCCATTGAATTCCATTCAATGATTACATTCGATTTCATTTGATGATGATTCTTTTTGAGTACATTCGATGATTCCATAACATTACATTAGATGGTGATTCCATTCGATTCCATTCGATGATTCCTTTCATGTCCATTCAATGACACCATTCGATTCCATTCGATGACTCCATTCGTTTCCACTCGTTGATGATTCCATTTGATTCAATTTGATGATGATTTCATTCGATTCCTTTCATTGATGATTCGATTGGACTCCATTCAATGATGATTCCATTTGACTCCATTCAATGATGTTTCCATTCGTCTCCATTCGAAACTAGTTTTTGATTGTGTACTAAATTAACAGAGTTGAAATTTTCTTTTGATAGACCAGTTTAGAAACACTCTTTTTGTAGAATCTACAAGTGGATATTTCGAGAGCTTTGAGGATTTCATTGGAAACGGGAATATCTTCATATAAAATCTAGACAGAAGGATTCTCAGAAACATCTTTGGGATGCTTGCATTCAAGTCACAGAGTTGAACATTCCTTTTCATACAGCATGTTTGAAACAGTCTTTTTATAGCATCTGGAAGTGGACATTTTGATCGCTTTGAAGCCTTTAGTGAAAAAGGAAATATCTTCCCATAAAAATTAGACAGAAGCATTCTCAGAAACTTGTTAGTGATGAGTGTAGTCAACTAACAGAGTTGAACCTTTCTTTTGATAAAGCAATGTTGAAACACTCTTTTTGTGGATTCTGCAAGTGGATATTTGGATAGCTTAGCGGAATTTGTTGGAAAAGGGAATATCTTCATATAAAATCAAGACAGAAGCATTCTCAGAAACATCTTCGCGATGTTTGCATTCAAGTCACAACGTTGAACATTCCCTTTCATAGAGCAGGTCTGAAACACTTATTTTGTAGTATCTGGAATGGCACATTTGGGGCGCATTGTGGCCTATGGTGAAAAAGGGATTATCTTCCCATAGAAACTAGACAGAAGCATTCTGAGAAACTATTTTGTGATGTGTGTACTCAACTAACGGAGTTGATAATTTCTTTTGATAGAGCAGTTTTGAAACACTCTTTTTGTAGAATCTACAAGTGGATATTTGGATAGATTTGAGGATTTCGTTGGAAACGGAAATATCTTCATATAAAATCTAGACAGAAGCATTAAGAGAAACTTCTTTGTGATGTTTGCATTCAAGTCACAGAGTTGAACATTCCCTTTCATAGAACAGGTTTGGAACACTGCTTTTGTAGTATGTGGAACTGGACATTTGGAGTGCTTTGTGGCATATGGTGAAAAAGGAAATAACTTCCCATTAAAAACTAGACAGAAGCATTATCAGAAACTTGTTTAGGATGTGTGTACTCAACTAACAGAGTTGAACCTTTCTTTTGTTAGAGCAGCTTTGAAACACACTTTTTGTAGAATTTGCAAGTGGATATTTGGATAGCTTTGAGGGTTTCGTAGGAAACGGGAACATCTTCATATAATATCTAGACAGAAGAATTATCAGAAACTACTTTGGGATGTTTGCAGTCAAGTCACAGAGTTGAACACACCCTTTCATAGAGCAGGTTTGAAACACTGATTTTGTAGTATCTGGAACTGGACATTTAGAACGCTTTGTGGCCTATGGTGAAAAAAGAAATATCTTCCCATAAATATTACACAGAAGCATTCTCAGAAACTACTTTGCGATATGTGTACTCAACTAACAGAGACAAGCTTTTCTTTTGATAGAGCAGTTTTGAAACAGCCTTTTTGTAGAATCTGCAAGTGGATATTTGGACAGCTTTGTGGATTTCGTTGGAAATGGGAATATTTTCTTATAAAATCTGGATGGAAGCATTCTCAGAAACATCTTTTGGATGTTTGCATTCCAGTCAGAGAGTTGAAAATTCCGTTTCATAGAGCAGGTATGAAACAATGATTTTGTCGTATCTCAAAATGGACATTTGGACACCCTGGTGGCGTATGGTGAAGAAGGAAATATCTTCCCATAAAAACTAGGCAGAAGCATTCTCAGAAACCAGTTGGTGATCTGTGTACTCAACTAAGAGAGTTGAACTTTTGTTTTGATAGAGCAGTTTTGAAACACTCTCTTTGTAGAATCTGCAAGTGGATATTTGCACAGCTTTGTGGATTTCGTTAAAAACGGGAATATCTTCCTATAAAATCTGGACAGAAGCATTCTCAGAAACATCTTTTGGATGTTTGCATTCCAGTCAGAGAGTTGAACATTCTCTCTCATAGAGCAGGTTTGAAACACTCTTTTTGTGGTATGTGGAAGTGGACATTTGAGTCACTTAGAGGCCTATGGTGAAAAAGGACATATCTTCCCATAAAAGCTAGACAGAAGCATTCTCAGAAACGAGTTTGTGATGTGTATACTCAACTAACAGAGTTGAACCTTTCTTTTGATAGAGCAATTTTGAAACACTCTTTTTGTAGAATCTGCAAGTGGATAATTGGATAGCTTTGAGGATTTCGTTGGAAACGGGAATATCTTCATATAAAATTTAGACAAGCATTCTCAGAATGTGATGATTGCATTCAAGTCACAGAGTTGAACGTTCCCTCTCATAGAGCAGGTTAGAAACACTGATATTGTAGTATCTGGAACTGGACATTTGTAGCGCTTTGTAGCCTGTATTGAAAAAGGAAATATCTTCCCATAAAAACTAGACAGAAGCATTCCCAGAAACTAGTTTGTGATGTCTGTACTCAACTAACAGAGATGAACCTTTCTTTTATTAGAGCAGTTTTGAAACACTCTTTTTGTAGAATGTGCAAGTGGATATTTGGATAGCTTTGAGGATTTCATTGGAAACTGGAATATCTTCATATAAAATCTAGACAGAAGCATACTCGGAAACATCTCTGTGATGTTTGCATTCTAGTCACAGAGGTGAACATTCACTTTCATAGAGGAGGTTTGAAACATTGATTATTGTAGTATCTGGACCTGGATATTTGGAGCGATTTTTGGCCTATGGTGAAAAAGGAAATATTTTCCCATAAAAACTACACAGAAGCATTCTCAGAAACAGGTATGTGATGAGTGTACTCAACTAACGCAGTTGAACCTTTCTTTTCACAAAGCAGTTTTGAAACACTCTTATTGTAGAATCTGCAAATGGATATTTGGATAGTTTGAGGATTTCGTTCAAAAGGGGAATATCTTCAAATAAAATCTAGACAGAAGCATTCTCAGAAACATCTTTGGGCTGTTTGCATTCAAGTCTCACAGTTGAACATTCCCTTTCATAGAGAAGGTTTGAAAAAGTATTTTTGTAATATCTGGAAGTGGACATTTGGATCGCTTTGTGGCCTATGGTGAAACAGGAAATATCTTCGCATAAAAACTAGACAGAATCATTCTCATAAACTTCTTTGGGTTATGTGTACTCATGTAACAAAGTTGAACCTTTCTTTTGATAGAACAGTTTTGAAACACACTTTTTGTAGAATCTGCAAGTAGATATTTGGATAGCTTTGGGTATGTCGTTGGAAACGGGAATATCTTCATATAAAATCTAGAAAGAAGTATTCTCAGAATCAACTTTGGGATGTTTGCACTCAAGTCACAGAGTTGTACATTCTCTTTCATAGAGCAGGTTTGAAACACTCTTTTTGTAATATCTGGAATGGACAATTTGATCGATTTGAGGACTACGGTTAAAAATGTAAATATCTTCGCATAAAAACTAGACAGAAGCATTCTCATAAACTTCTTTGTGATGTGTGTACTCAACAGAGTTCAAGCTTTCTTTTGATAGAGCAGTTTTGAAACACTCTTTTTGTAGAATCTGCAAGTGCATATTAGGATAGCTTTGAGGATTTCGTTGGAAACGGGAATATCTTCATATAAAATCTAGACAGAATCATTCTCAGAAACATCTCTGTGATGATTGCATTCAAGTCACACAGTTGAACATTCCGTTTCATAGAGCAGGTTTGAAACACTGATTTTGTCTTATGTGGAAGTGGACATTTGAGCGCATTGTGGCCTAAGGTGAAAAAGGAAATATCTTCCCATAAAAACTAGAAAGAAGCATTCTCAGAAACTAGTTCGTGATGTGTCCACTCAACTAACTGAGTCGAACCTTTCTTTTGATAGAGCAGATTTGAAACTCCCTTTTCGTAGAATCTGTAAGAGTATATTTTATAGCTTTGAGGATTTTGTTGGAAACAGGAATACCTTCATATAAAATCTAGAGAGAAGCATTCTCAGAATGTGCTGATTGCATTCAACTCACACTGTTGAACATTCCCTTTAATAGGGCAGGTTTGAAACAATGATTTTGTAGTATGTGGAACTGGACATTTGGAGTGCTTTGTGGCCTATGGTAAAAAAGGAAATATCTTCCCATAAAAACTACACAGAAGCATTCTAAGAAACCAGTTTGTGATGTGTGTACTCAACTAACAGAGTAGAACTTTTCTTTTGATAGAGCAGTTTTGAAACACTCTTTTTCTAGAATCAGCAAGTGGATATTTGGATAGCTTTGAGTATTTCGTTGGAAACGGGAATATCTTCTTATAAAATCTATACAGAAGCATTATCAGAAATATCTTTGGGATGCTTGCATTCAAGTCTCAGAGTTGAACATTCCCTTTCATAGAGCAGGTTTGAAACAATGATTTTGTTGTATCTGGAACTGGACATTGTAATGCTTTTTTGACTATGGTGAAAAAGGAAATATCTTCCCATAAAAACTACACAGAAGCATTCTCAGAAACTAATTTGTGATGTGTGTAGTCAACTAACAGGGTTGAACCTTTCTTTTGATAGAGCAGTTTGGAAACACTCCCTTTGTAGAATCTGCTATTGGATATTTGGATATCTTTGAGGATTTCGTTTTAAATGGAACATATTCATATGAAACCAAGACAGAATCATTCTCAGAAACATCTTTGGAATGTTTGCATTCAAGTCTCAGAGTTGAACATTCCCTTTCATTGAACAGGTTTGAAACACTCTTTTCGCTGTATCTGGAAGTGGACATTTTGATCGCTTTGAGGCCTATGGTGAAAAAGGAAATATCTTCGCATAAAAACTATACAGAAGCATTCTCAGAAACTACTTTGAGATGTGTGTTCTCAACTAACAGAGTTGAAGCTTTCTTTTGATAGAGCAGTTTTGAAACACTCTTTTTGCAGTATCTGCCAGTGGATATTTGGATAGCTCTGCGGAATTCATTGGAAACGGGAATAACTTCATATAAAATCTAGACAGAAGCAATATCAGAAACTTCTTTGTGATGTTTGCATTCAAGTCACAGAGTTGAACATTTGCTTTCATAGAGCAGGTTTGAGACACTGATGTTGCAGTATCTCGAACTGGGCGTTTGGAACGCTTTGAGGCCTGTAGTGAAAAAGGAAATATCTTAACATAAAAACTACAGAGAAGCATTCTCAGAATCTAGTTTGTGCTGTGTGTACTCAACTAACAGAATTGAACCTCTCTTCTGATAGAGCAGTTTTGAAACACTCTTTTTGTAGAATCTGCAAGAGGATATTTGGTCAGCTTTGAGGATTTCGTTGGAAATGGAATATCTTCATATAAAATCTAGACACAAGCATTCTCAGAAAAATCTCTGTGATGTCTGCATTCAAGTCCCAGAGTTGAACTTTCCCTTTCATAGAGCATGTTTCAAACACTCTTTTTTTAATATCTGGAAGTGGATATTTGTATTGATTTGGGGCCCATGGTGAAAAAGGAAATATCTTACCATAAAAACTAGACAGAAGCATTCTCATAAACTTGTTTGTGATGTGGGTAGTCAACTAACAAGGTTGTACCTTTCTTTTGATAGTGCAGTGTTGAAACACTCTTTTTGTAGAATCTGCAAGTGGATATTTGGATAGATTTGAGGGTATCATTAGTAACGAAAATATCTTCATATAAAAATCTAGACAGAAGCATTCTCAGAAACATCTTTGGGATGTTTGCATTCAAGTCACAGAGTTGAACATTCCCTTTCATAGAGCAGGTTTGAAAGCCTCTTTTTGGGCTATCTCGAACTAGACATTTCGAACACATTGTGGCCTTTATTGAAAAAGGAAATATCTTCCCATAAAACTAGACAGAAGCACTCCCACAAACATCTATGGGATGTTTGCATTCAAGACACAGAGTTGAACATTCCCTTTATTAGAGCAGGTTTCAAACCCTCTTTTTGTGGTATGTGGAAGTGGACAATTGGATCGCTTTGAGGCCTACGGTGTAAAAGGAAATATCTTCGCATAAAAACTAGACAGAAGCATTCTGATAAACCTGTTTCTGAAGTGTGTACTCAACTATCAGAGTTCAACCTTTCTTTTGATAGAGCAGTTTTGAAACACACTTTTTGTAGAATCTGAAAGTGGATATTTGGATACTTTTGAGGATTTCGGTGGAAACACGAGTATCTTCATATAAAATCTAGACAGAAGCATTCTCAGAAACATCTTTGGGATGCTTGCCTTCACATCAGAGAGTTGAACATTCCCTTTCATAGAGCAAGTTTGAAACACTCTTTTTGTGGTATCTGGAAGTGGACATTTTGATCGCTTTGAGGCTCATGGTGAAAAAGGAAATATCTTCGCATAAAAACTAGACAGAAGCATTCTCATAAACCTGTTTGTGATGTGTGTACTCAACTAACAGAGTTGAACCTTTCTTTTGATAGAGCAGTTTTGAAACACTCTTTTTGTAGAATCTGCAAGTGGATATTTTGATAGCTTTGACGGTTTCGTTGGAAACGGAAATATCTTCATATAAAATCTAGACAGAAGCATTCTCAGAAACATCTCTGTGATGTTTGCATTCAAGACACATAGTTGAACTTTCTCTTTACTGTAACAGCTTTGAAACACTGATTTTGTAGTATCTGGAACTGGACATTTCATGTGCATTGTGGCCTATATTGAAAAAGGAAATATCTTCCCATAAAAATTGACAGAAACATTCTCAGAAACTAGTTTGTGATGTGTGTACTCAACTAACACAGTTGAAACTTTCTTTTGATAGAGTAGTTTTGAAACACTCTTTTTGTAGAATCTGCAAGTGGATATTTGGATACCTTTGAGGATTTCGTTGCAAACAGGAATATCTTCAGGTAAAATCTACACAGAAGCATTCTCAGAAACATCTTTCGGATGTTTGCATTCAAGTAACAGTGTTGAACATTCCCTTTCTTAGAGCAGGTTTGAAACACTCTTTTTGTAATATCTGGAAGTGGACATTTGGATCGCTTTGAGGTCTGTGGTGAAAAAGAAAGTACCTTGGCATAAAAACTAGACAGAACCATTCTCATAAACTTGTTTGTGATGTGTGTACTCAACTAACAGAGTTGAACCTTTCTTTTGATAGAACAGTTTGAAACAATCTTTTGGTA
The DNA here is from genome assembly GCF_000001405.40 of Homo sapiens. Lineage (NCBI taxonomy): Eukaryota > Metazoa > Chordata > Mammalia > Primates > Hominidae > Homo > Homo sapiens. Next base: position 43,362,493 of record NC_000009.12, read on the forward strand.
GAATCTACAAGAGGATATTTGGATAGCTTTGAGTATTTCATCGGAAACGGGAATATGTTTATATAAAATCTAGACAGAAGCATTATCAGAAACATCTTTGTGATGTTTGCAATCAAGTCACAGATTTGAACATTCCCTTTCATAGAGCAGGTTTGAAACACTCTTTTTGTAGTATCTGGAAGTGGACATTTGGATCACTTTGAGGCCTATGGTGTAAAAGGAAATATCTTCGCATAAAAACTAGACAGAAGCATTCTCACAAACTTGTCTGTGATATGTGTACTCAACTAACAGAGGTGAACCTTTCTTTTGATAGAGCAGTTTTGAAACACTCTTTTTGGAGAATCTGCAAGTGGGTATTTGGATAGCTTTGAGGATTTCGTTGGAAACGGGAATATCCTAATACAAAATCTAGAAAGAAGCATTCTCAGAAACATATCTGTGATGTTTGCATTCAAGTCACAGGGGTGAATATTCCCTTTTCTGGAGCAGGTTTGAAAAACTGATTTTGTGGTATCTGGAACTGGACATTTCGAGCGCACTGTGGCCTTTATTGAAAAAGGAAATATCTTCCCATAAAAACTAGACAGAAATATTCTCAGAAACTACTTTGTGATGTGTGTACTCAACTATCAGAGTTGAACCTTTCTTTTCATAGAGCAGTTTTGAAACACACTTATTCTAGAATCTGCAAGTGGATATTTGGATAGCTTTGAGGAATTCGGTGGAAACGCGAATATCTTCATATAAATTCTAGACAGAAGCATTCTCAGAAACATCTTTGGGATGTTTGCCTTCACATCAGACAGTTGAACATTCCCTTTCATAGGGCAGGTTTGAAATACTCTTTTTGTAGTATCTGGAAGTGGACATTTGGAACGGTATCAGGCCTATGGTTAAAAAGGAAATATCTTCCCATAAAAACAAGACAGAAGCACTCTCAGAAACTTATTTCTGATATCTGTCCTCACTTAACGGACATGAACCTTTCTTTTTATAGAGCACTTTTGAAACACTCTTTTTGTAGTATCTGCAAGTGGATATTTGGATGGCTTTGAGGATTTCGTTGGAAACGGGAATATCTTCCTATAAAATCTAGACAGAAGCATTCTGAGAAACTTCTTTGTGATGTTTGCATAAAAGACACAGAGTTGAACATTCCCTGTCATAGAGCAGGTTTGAAACAATCTTTTTGTAGTATCTGGAAGTGGACACTTCGAACGCTTTCAGGCCTATGGTTAAAAAGGAAACATCTTCTCATATAAAGAAGACAGAAGCATTCTCAGAAACTTATTTGTGATGTGTGTCCTAAACTAACAGACTTGAAACTGTCTTGATACAGCAGTTTTCAAACACTCTTTTTCTAGAATCTGCAAGTGGACATTTGGATAGTTTTGAGGATTTCGTTGCAAACGGGATTACATATAAAAAGTAGACAGCAGCATTCTCAGAAACTTCTTGTGATGTTTGCATTCAAGTCACAGAGTTGAACATTCCCTGTCATAGAGCAGGTTTGAAACAATCTTTTTGTAGTATCTGGAAGTGGACACTTCGAACGCTTTCAGGCCTATGGTTAAAAACGAAATATCTTCTCATATAAACAAGACAGAAGCATTCTCAGAAATTTATTTGTGATGTGTGTCCTCAACTAACAGACTTGAACCTGCCTTTTAATACAGCAGTTTTGAAACACTCTTTTTGTAGAATCTGCAAGTGGACATTTGGACAGCTTTGAGGATTTCGTTGGAAACTGGATTACATATAAAAAGTAGACAGTAGAATTCTCAGAAACTTTTTGTGATGTTTGCATTCAAGTCACAGAGTTGAACATACCCTTTCATAGAGCAGGTTTGATACACTCTTTTTGTAGTATCTGGAAGTGGACATTTGGAGCGCTTTGTGGCCTACGGTAAAAAAGGAAGTACCCTCCCATAAAAACAACATAGAAGCAATCTCAGAAACTTGTTTATGCTGTATCTACTCAACGAACAGTGTGCAAACTTTCTATTGATAGAGCAGGTGTGAAACACTCTTTTTTTGGAATCTGCAGGTGCATACTTGGATAGAATTGAGGATTTCGTTGGAAAAGGGATTACTTATAAAAAGTAGACTGCAGCATTCTCAGAAACTTCTTTGTGATGTTTGCATTCAAGTCACAGAGTTGAACATTCCCTTTCATAGAGCAGGTTTGAAACACTCTTTTTGTAGTATCTGGAAGTGGACATTTCCAACGCTTTCAGGCCTACGGAGAAAAAGGATATATCTTCCCATAAAAACAAGACAGAAGCATTCTCAGAAACTTATTTGTGATGTGTGTCCTCAACTAACGGACTTGAACCTTTCTTTTTATAGAGCACTTTTGAAACACTCTTTTTGTACTATCTGCAAGTGGATAGTTGGATGGCTTTGACGATTTCGTTGGAAACGGGAATATCTTCCTATAAAATCTACACAGAAGCATTCTCAGAAACTTCTTTGTGATGTTTGCATTCAAGTCACAGAGTTGAACATTCCCTGTCATAGAGCAGGTTTGAAACAATCTTTTTTTAGTATCTGGAAGTGGACACTTCGAACGCTTTCAGGCCTATGGTTAAAAAGGAAATATCTTCTCATGTAAACAAGACAGAAGCATTCTCAGAAACATATTTGTGATGTGTGTCTTCAACTAACACACTTGAACTTGTCTTGATACAGCAGTTTTGAAACACTCTTTTTGTAGAATCTGCAAGTGGACATTTGTATAGCATTGAGGATTTCGTTGCAAACGGGATTAAATAAAAAAGGTAGACAGCAGCATTCTGAGAAACTTTTTGTGATGTTTGCATTCAAGTCACAGAGTTGAACATTCCCTTTCATAGAGCAGGTTTGAAACTCACTTTTTGTAGTATCTGGAAGTGGACATTTCTAACGCTTTCAGGCCTACAGTGAAAAAGGAAATATCTTCCCATAAAAACAAGAGAGAAGCATTCTCAGAAACTTATTTCTTATGTGTGTCCTCAACTAACGGACTTGAACCTTTCTTTTTATAGAGCACTATTGAAACACCCTTTTTGTAGTATCTGCAAGTGGTTATTGGGATAGCTTTGACGATTTCATTGTAAACGGGAATATCTTCCTATAAAATCTAGACAGGAGCATTCTCAGAAACTTCTTTGTTATGTTAGCATTCAAGTCACAGAGTTGAACATTCCCTTTCATAGAGGAGGTATGAGACACTCTTTTTGTAGTCTCTGGACGTCGACATTTGGAGCGCTTTGAGGCCTATGTTGGAAAAGGAACTATCTTCCCATAAAAATGAGATAGAATCAATCTCAGAAACTTGTTTATGCTGTATCTACTCACGTAACAGTGTTGAACCTTTCTATTCTTAGAGCAGGTTTGAAACACTCTTTTTTTGGAATCTGCATGTGGACATTTGGATAGATTTGAGTATTTCGTTGGAAACGGGATTACATATAAATAGTAGACAGCAGCATTCTCAGAAACTTCTTTGTGATGTTTGCATTCAAGTCACAGAGTTAAACATTCCCTCTCATAGAACAGGTTGGAAACACTCTTTTTGTAGTGTCTGGAAGTGGACATTTGCAACGGTATCAGGCCTATGGATGAAAAGGAAATATCTTCCCATAAAAACAAGATGGAAGCATCCTCAGAAACATATTTGTGATGTGTGTCCTCAGCTAACAAACTTGAACCTTTCTTTTGATACAGCAGTTTTGAAACACTCTTTTTGGAGAATCTGCAAGTGGATATTTGGATACTTTTGAGGATGTCCTTGGCAACGGGATTACATATAAAAAGTAGAGAGCAGCATTCTTAGAAACTTCTTTGTGATGTTTCCTTTCATGTCACAGATTTGAGCATTCCCTTTCATACAGCAGGTTTGAGACAGTCTTTTTGTAGTATCTCGAAGTGGACATTTCGAGCTCTTTGAAGCCTATGGTGAAAAAGGAAATATCTTCCCATAAAAGCTAGAGAGAAGCATTCTCAGAATCATGTTTGTGACGTGTGTACTCAACAAACAGAGTTGAACCTTTCTTTTGATAGAGGACCTTTGAAACACTCTTTTTGTAGAATCTGCAAGTGGATATTTGGATAGCTTTGAGGATTTCGTTGCAAACGGGGTTACATATAAAAAGTAGACAGCAGCATTCTGAGAAAATTTTGTGATGTTTGCATTCAAGTCACAGAGTTGAACATTCCCTTTCATAGAGCAGGTTTGAAACACTCTTTTTGTAGTATCTGGAAGTGGACATTTCCAACACTGTCAGGCCTACGGTGAAAAAGGAAGTAGCTTCCCATAAAAACAAGACAGAAGCATTCTCTGAAACTTATTTCTGATGTCTGTCCTCAACTAACGGATATGAAACTTTCTTTTTATGGAGCACTTTTGAAACACTGTTTTTGTAGTATCTGCAAGGGGATACTTGGATGGCTTTGACGATTTCATTGGAAACGAGAATATCTTCCCATAAAAACAAGACAGAAGCATTCCCAGAAACTTGTGATGTGTGTCCTCAACTAACAGACTTGAACCATTCTTTTGATACATCTGTTTTGAAACAGTCTTTTTGTGGAATCTGCAAGTGGATATTTGGATAGCTTTGAGGATTTCGTTGGAAACGTGATTACATATAAAATATAGACAGCAGCATTTTCAGAAACTTCTTTGTGATGTTTCCATTCAAGTCACAGATTTGAACATTCCCTTTCATAGAGCAGGTTTGAGACACACTTTTTGTAGTATCTGGAAGTGGACTTTTGGAGAGATTTGTGGCCTATGGTAAAAAAGGAAGTATCTTCCCATAAAAAAGAGATAGAAGCAATCTCAGAAACTTATTTAAGCTGTATCTACTAAACTAACCGTGTTCAACCATTCTACTGATAGAGCATGTGTGAAACACTCTTTTTTTGGAATCTGAATGTGCGTATTTAGATAGATTTGAGGATTTCGTTGCAAACGGGATTACATATAAAAAGTAGATAGCAGCATTCTCAGAAACTTCTTTCTGATATTTCCATTCAAGTCCCAGAGATGAGCACTCCATTTCATAGAGCAGGTTTGAAACGATCTTTTTGTAGTATCTGGAAGTGGACATTTCAAGCGCTTTCAGGACTATGTTGAGAAAGGTAGTGTCTTCTAATAAAAACTACACAGAAGCATTCTCAGAAACGTATTTGTGATGGGTGTCCTCAACTAACAGAGTTGAACGTTTGTTTTCATACAGCAGTTTGGTAACACTCTTTTTGTAGAAGCTACAAGTGTATATTTGAAGAGCTTTTAAAATTTCGTTGGAAACGGCAATATCTTCATATAAAATCAAGACAAAAGCATTCTCAGAAACTTTTTTGTGATGTTTGCATTCAACTCATAGACTTGAACATTCCCTTTCATACAGCAGGTTTCAAACACTGTTTGTGTAATATGTGGAAATGGACATTTCCAGCGCTTCGAGGCCTGTGGTGAAGAAGGAAATATCTTCCCAAAAAAACTAGAAGAAAGCATTCTCAGAATCTTCTTAGAGATGTGTATACTCAATTAACAGAGTTGAACCTATCTTTTGGCAGAGTAGTTTTGAAACACACTTTTTGTACAATCGGCAAGTGAATATTCGGGTAGCATTGAGGTTTTCATTGGAAACGGATATATCTTCATATAAAATCAAGACAGAAGCTTTCTCAGAAACTCCTTTGTGATGTATGTCCTCAATTAACAGAGTTCAACCCTTGTTTGGATGCAGCATTTTGGAAAAATTCCTTTTGTAGAGTCTGCAAGTGGATATTTGGATAGCTTTGTAGATTTCATTGGAAAAGGGAATACTTTCAGATAAAATATAGACAGAAGCACACTCAGAAACTACTTTGTGATGTTTGCGTTCAACTCATTGGGTTGAACATTCCCTTTCATAGAGTAGGTTTCAAATATTCTTTTTGTAGCATGTCGAAGTGGACATTTGGAACGCTTTCAGGCCTACGGTGTAAAAGGAAATATCTTCAGATAAAAACTAGACAGAAGCATTCTCAGAAACTTGTTTGTGATGTGTGTATTCAACTGAGTTGAACTTTCTTTATACAGAGCAATTTTGAAACACTCTTTTTGTGGAATCTGAGAGTGGATATTTGGATAGCTTTGAGGATTTCGTTGGAAACGGGATTACATATAAACTCTAGAGAGAAGCATTCTCAGGAACTTCTTTGTGATGTTTGAATTCAAGTCACAGAATTGAACATTCCCTTTCATAGAGCAGGTTTGAAACACTCTTTCTGTAGTATCTGCAAGTGGACATTTCAAGCGCTTTCAGGCCTATGGTGAGAAAGGAAATATCTTCAAATAAAAACTGGACATAAACATTCTCAGAAACTTATTAGTGATGTGTGTCCCCAACTAACAGAGTTGAACCTTTGTTTTGATACAGCATTTTGGAAACACTGTTTTTGTAGAATCTGCGGGTGGATATTTGGATAGCTTTGAAGATTTTGTTGGAAACGGAAATATCTTCATATAAAATCAAGAAAGAAGCATTCTCAGAAGCTTGTTTGTGATGTGTGTATTCAACTAACAGAGATGAACCTTTCTTTTTACAGAGCAGTTTTAAAACACTCTTTTTGTGGAATCTGAAAGTGGATATTTGGATACCTTTGAGGATTTCGTTGGAAACGGGATTACATACAAAATCTAGAGAGAAGCATTCTCAGGAACTTCTTTGTGATGTTTGCATTCAAGTCACAGAACTGAACATTCCCTTTCATAGAGCATGTTTGAAACACTCTTTCTGTAGTATCTGCAACCGGACATTTCAAGCGCTTTCAGGCCTGTGGTGAGAAAGGAAATATCTTCAAATAAAAACTAGACAGAAGCATTCTCAGAAACTTATTTGCGATGTGTGTCCTCAACTAACAGAGTTGAACCTTTGTTTGGATACAGCATTTTGGAAACATTCCTTTAGTAGTATCTGCAAGTTGATATTTAGATAGGAAGATTTCGTTGGAAACGGGAATCTCTTCATATAAAATCTAGACGGAAGCATTCTCAGAAACTTCTCTGTGATGTTTGCATTCAACTCATAGAGTGGAACACTTCCTTTCATAGAGCAGGTTTGAAACACTCTTTTTGTAATATTTGGAAGTGGACATTGGCAGCGCTTTGAGGCCTATGGTGAAAAACGAAATATCTTCTCCTAAAAACCAGACAGAAGCATTCTCAGAAACTTCCTTGTGATGTGTGTACTCAAGTAACAGAGATGAACTTTCCTTTTGACAGAGCAGTTTTGAAACACTCTTTTTGTAGAATCTGCAAGTGGATATTTTGATACCTTTGAGGATTTCGTTGGACACGGGATATCTTCATATAAAATCTAGACAGAAGCATTCTCAGAAACTTCTTTGTGCTGTATGTCCTCAATTAACAGAGTTGAACCTTTGTTTTGATACAGCATTCTGGAAACATTCCTTTAGTAGAATCTGCAAGTTGATATTTAGATAGCTAGGAAGATTTCCTTGGAAACGGGAATATCTTCATATAAAATCTAGACGGAAGCATTCTCAGAAACTGCTTTGTGATGTTTTCATTCAAGTCACAGAGTAGAATGTTCCCTTTTATAGAGCAGGTTTGAAACATTCTTTCTGCACTACCTGGAAGTGGACATTTGGAGCGCTTTGAGGCCTATGTTGAAAAAGGAAATATCTTCCCATAAAAACTAGACAGAAGCATTCTCAGAAACTTGTTTGTGATGTGTGTATTCAACTAACAGAGATGAACCTTTCTTTTTACAGAGCAGTTTTGAAACACTCTTTTTGTGGAATCTGAAAGTGGATATTTGGATAGCTTTGAGGATTTCGTTGGAAACGGGATTACATACAAAATCTAGAGAGAAGAATTCTCAGGAACTTCTTTGTGATGTTTGCATTCACGT
>NC_000009.12:43371325-43377453 GCF_000001405.40 Homo sapiens
CTCTTTTTGTATATTTGGAAGAGGACATTGGCAGCGCTTTGAGGCCTATGGTGAAAAAGGAAATATCTTCTCCTAAAAACCAGACAGAAGCATTCTCAGAAACTTCCTTGTGATGTGTGTACTCAAGTAACAGAGTTGAACATTCCTTTTGACAGAGCCATTTTGAAACACTCTTTTTGTAGAATCTGCAAGTAGATATTTGGATACCTTTGACGATTTCGTTGGAAACGGGATATCTTCATATAAAACCAAGACAGAAGCATTCTCAGAAACTACTTTGTGCTGTATGTCCTCAATTAACAGAGTTGAACCTTTGTTTGGATACAGCATTTTGGAAACATTCCTTTAGTAGAATCTGCAAGTTGATATTTAGATAGCTAGGAAGATTTCCTTGGAAACGGGAATATCTTCATATAAAATCTAGACGGAAGCATTCTAAGAAAGTGCTTTGTGACGTTTGCATTCAAGTCACAGAGTACAATATTCGCTTTTATGGAGCCGGTTTGAAACACTCTTTCTGCACTACCTGGAAGTGGACATTTGGAGCGCTTTTAGGCCTATGTTGAAAAAGGAAATATCTTCCCATAAAAACTAGACAGAAGCATTCTCAGAAACTTGTTTGTGATATGTGTATTCAACTAACAGAGATGAACCTTTCTTTTTACAGAGCAGTTTTAAAACACTCTTTTTGTGGAATCTGAAAGTGGATATTTGGATAGCTTTGAGGATATCGTTGGAAACGGTATTACATATAAAATCTAGAGAGAAGAATTCTCAGGAACTTCTTTGTGATGTTTGAATTCAAGTCGCAGAACTGAACATTCCCTTTCATAGAGCAGGTTTGAAACACTCTTTCTGTAGTATCTGCAAGCGGACGTTTCAAGCACTTTCAAGCCTATGGTAAGAAAGGAAATATCTTCAAATAATAACTAGACAGAAGCATTCTCAGAAACTTATTTGCGATGTGTGTCCTCAACTAACAGAGTTGAACTTTTGTTTTGATACAGCATTTTGGAAACACTCTTTTTGTAGGATCTGCAGGTGGATATTTAGATAGCTTTGAAGGTTTCGTTGGAAACGGGAATATCTTCATATAAAATCAACACAGAAGCATTCTCAGAAACTTCTCTGTGATGTTTGCATTCAACTCATAGAGGTGAACACTTCCTTTCATAGAGCTGTTTTGAAACACTCTTTTTGTAATATTTGGAAGTGGACATTGGCAGCGCTTTCAGGCCTATGGTGAAAAAGGAAATATCTTCTCCTAAAAACCAGACAGAAGCATTCTCAGAAACTTCCTTGTGATGTGTGTACTCAAGTAACAGAGTTGAACCTTACTTTTGAGAGAGCAGTTTTGAAACACTCTTTTTGTAGAATCTGCAAGTGGATATTTTGATAGCTTTGAAGATTTCGTTGGACACGGGATATCTTCATATAAAATCTAGACTGAAGCATTCTCAGAAACTACTTTGTGCTGTATGTCCTCAATTAACAGAGTTGAACCTTTGTTTCGATTCAGCATTTTGGAAACATTCCTTTGGTAGAATCTGCAAGTTGATAATTAGATAGCTAGGAAGATTTCCTTGGAAACGGGAATATCTTCATATAAAATCTAGACGGAAGCATTCTCAGAAACTGCTTTGTGATGTTTTCATTCAAGTCACAGAGTAGAATGTTCCCTTTTATAGAGCAGGTTTGAAACACTCTTTCTGCACTACCTGGAAGTGGACATTTGGAGCGCTTTGAGGCCTATGTTGAAAAAGGAAATATCTTCCCATAAAAACTAGACAGAAGCATTCTCAGAAACTTGTTTGTGATTTGTGTATTCAACTAACAGAGATGAACCTTTGTGTGGATACAGCATTTTGGAAACATTCCTTTACTAGAATCTGCAAGTTGATATTTAGATAGCTAGGAAGATTTCCTTGGAAACGGGAATATCTTCATATAAAATCTAGACGGATGCATTCTCAGAAAGTGCCTTGTGATGTTTGCATTCAAGTCACAGAGTAGAATATTCCCTTTAATAGAGCAGGTTTGAAGCACTCTTTCTGCACTACCTGGAAGTGGACATTTGGAGCGCTTTGAGGCCTATGTTGAAAAAGGAAATATCTTCCCATAAAAACTAGACAGAAGCATTCTAAGAAACTTGTTTGTGATGTGTGTATTCAACTAACAGAGATGAACCTTTCTTCTTACAGAGCAGTTTTAAAACACTCTTTTTGTGGAATCTGAAATTGGATATTTGGATAGGTTTGAGGATTTCCTTGGAAACGGGATTACATATAAAATCTAGGGAGAAGCATTCTCAGCAACTTCTTTGTGATGTTTGCATTGAAGTCACAGAACTGAACATTCCCTTTCATAGAGCAGGTTTGAAACACTCTTTCTGTAGTATCTGCAAGCGGCCATTTCAAACGATTTCAGGCCTATGGTGAGAAAGGAAATATCTTCAAATAAAAACTAGACAAAAGCATTCTCAGAAACTTATTTGCGATGTGTGTACTCAACGAACAGAGTTGAACCTTTGTTTTGATACAACATTTTGGAAACACTCTTTTGGTAGAATCTGCAGGTGGATATTTGGATAGGTTTGAAGGTTTCGTTGGAAACGGGAATATCTTCATATAAAATCAAGACAGAAGCACTCTCAGAAACTGCTCTGTGATGTTTGCATTCAACTCATAGAGTTGAACACTTCTCTTCATAGAGCAGGTTTGAAACACTCTTTTTGTAATATTTGGAAGTGGACATTGGCAGCGCTTTGAGGCCTATGTTGAAAAAGGAAATATCTTCTCCTAAAAACCAGATAGAAGCATTCTCAGAAACTTCCTTGTGATGTGTGTACTCAAGTAACAGAGTTGAACCTTACTTTAGACAGAGCAGTTTTGAAACAGTCTTTTGGTAGAATCTGGAAGTAGATATTTGGATACCTTGGAGGATTTCTTTGGAAACGGGATATCTTCATATAAAATCTAGACAGAAGAATTCTCAGAAACTTCTTTGTGCTGTATGTCCTCAATAAACAGAGTTGAACCTTTGTGTGGATACAGCATTTTGGAAACATTCCTTTAGTAGAATCTGCAAGTTGATATTTAGATAGCTAGGAAGATTTCCTTGGAAACGGGAATATCTTCATATAAAATGTAGACGGAAGCATTCTCAGAAACTGCTTTGTGATGTTTTCATTCAAGTCACAGAGTAGAATGTTCCCTTTCATAGAGCAGGTTTAAAACAGTCTGTGCACTCCCTGGAAGTGGACATTTGGAGCGCCTTGAGGCCTATATTGAAAAAGGAAATATCTTCCCATAAAAACTACACAGAAGCATTCTCAGAAACTTGTTTGTGATGTGTGTATTCAACTAACAGAGATGAACCTTTCTTTTTACAGAGCAGTTTTGAAACACTCTTTTTGTGTAATCTGAAAGTGGATATTTGGATAGCTTTGAGGATTTCGTTGGAAACGGGATTACATATAAAATCTAGAGAGAAGCATTCTCAGGAACTTCTTTGTGATGTTTGCATTCACGTCACAGAACTGAACATTCCCTTTCATATAGCATGTTTGAAACACTCTTTCTGTAGTATCTGCAAGTGGATATTTCAAGCGCTTTCAGGCCTCTGGTGAGAAAGGAAATATCTTCAAATAAAAACTGGACAGAAGCATTCTCAGAAACTTATTTGCGATGTGTGTCCTCAACTAACAGAGTTGAACCTTTGTTTTGATACAGCACTTTGGAAACACCCTTTTGGTAGAATCTGCAGGTGGATACTTGGATACCTTTGAAGGTTTCATTGGAAAGGGGAATATCTTCATATAAAATCAAGACAGAAGCATTCTCAGAAAATTCTCTGTGATGTTTGCATTCAACTCATAGAGTGGAACACTTCCTTTCATAGAGCAGGTTTGAAACACTCTTTTTGTAATATTTGGAAGAGGACATTGGCAGCGCTTTGAGGCCTATGGTGAAAAAGGAAATATCTTCTCCTAAAAACCAGACAGAAGCATTCTCAGAAACTTCCTTGTGATGTGTGTACTCAAGTAACAGAGTTGAACATTCCTTTTGACAGAGCCATTTTGAAACACTCTTTTTGTAGAATCTGCAAGTAGATATTTGGATACCTTTGACGATTTCGTTGGAAACGGGATATCTTCATATAAAACCAAGACAGAAGCATTCTCAGAAACTACTTTGTGCTGTATGTCCTCAATTAACAGAGTTGAACCTTTGTGTCGATACAGCATTTTGGAAACATTCCTTTAGTAGAATCTGCAAGTTGATATTTAGATAGCTAGGAAGATTTCCCTGGAAACGGGAATATCTTCATATAAAATCTAGACGGAAGCATTCTCAGAAACTGCTTTGTGATGTTTTCATTCAAGTCACAGGGTAGAATGTTCCCTTTTATAGAGCAGGTTTGAAACACTCTTTCTGCACTACCTGGAAGTAGACATTTGGAGCGCTTTGAGGCATATGTTGAAAATGGAAATATCTTCCCATAAAAACTAGACAGAAGCATTCTCAGAAACTTGTTTGTGATGTGTGTATTCAACTAACAGAGATGAACGTTTGTTTTTACAGAGCAGTTTTAAAACACTCTTTTTGTGGAATCTGAAATTGGATATTTGGATAGCTTTGGGGATTTCGTTGGAATAGGGACTACATATAAAATCTAGGGAGAAGCATTCTCAGGAACTTCTTTGTGATGTATGCATTCAAGTCACAGAACTGAACATTCCCTTTCATAGAGCAGGTTTCAAGCACTCTTTCTGTAGTATCTGCAAGCCGACGTTTCAAGCGCTTTCAGGCCTATGGTGAGAAAGGAAATATCTTCAAATAAAAACTAGACAGAAGCATTCTCAGAAACTTATTTGCGATGTGTGTCCTCAACTAATAGAGTTGAACCTTTGATTTGATACAGCATTTTGGAAACACTCTTTTTGTAGAATTTGCAGGTGGATACTTGGATACCTTTGAAGGTTTCGTAGGAAACGAGAATATCTTCATTATAAAATCAAGACAGAAGCATTCTCAGAAACTTCTCTGTGATGTTTGCATTCAACTCATAGATTGGAACACTTCCTTTCATAGAGCAGGTTTGAAACACTCTTTTTGTAATATTTGGAAGTGGACATTGGCAGCGCTTTCAGGCCTATGGTGAAAAAGGAAATATCTTCTCCTAAAAACCAGACAGAAGCATTCTCAGAAACTTCCTTGTGATGTGTGTACTCAAATAACAGAGTTGAACCTTACTTTTGACAGAGCAGTTTTGAAACACTCTTTTTGTAGAATCTGCAAGAGGATATTTTGATACCTTTGAGGATTTCGTTGGACACGGGATATTTTCATATAAACTCTAGACGGAAGCATTCTCAGAAACTTCTTTGTGCTGTATGTCCTCAATTAACAGAGTTGAACCTTTGTGTGGATACAGCATTTAGGAAACATTCCTTTAGTAGAATCTGCAAGTTGATATTTAGATAGCTAGGAAGATTTCCTTGGAAACGGGAACATCTTCATATAAAATCTATACGGAAGCATTCTCAGAAAGTGCTTTGTGATGTTTGCATTCAAGTCACAGAGTAGAATATTCCCTTTTATAGAGCAGGTTTCAAACACTCTTTCTGCACTACCTGGAAGTGGATATTTGGAGCGCTTTGAGGCCTATGTTGAAAAAGGAAATATCTTCCCATATAAACTAGACAGAAGCATTCTCAGAAACTTGTTTGTGATGTGTGTATTCAACTAACAGAGATGAACCTTTCTTTTTACAGAGCAGTTTTGAAACACTCTTTTTGTGGAATCTGAAAGTGGATATTTGGATAGCTTTGAGGATTTCGTTGGAAACGGGATTACATATAAAATCTAGAGAGAAGCATTCTCAGGAACTTCTTTGTGATGTTTGCATTCACGTCACAGAACTGAACATTCCCTTTCATAGAGCATGTTTGAAACACTCTTTCTGTAGTATCTGCAAGCGGACATTTCAAGCGCTTTCAGGCCTATTGTGAGAAAGGAAATATCTTCAAATAAAAACTAGACAGAAGCATTCTCAGAAACTTATTTGCGATGTGTGTCCTCAACTAACAGAGTTGATCCTTTGTTTTGATACAGCACCTTGGAAAC
>NC_000009.12:43382279-43389535 GCF_000001405.40 Homo sapiens
GACGTTTCAAGCGCTTTCAGGCCTATGGTGAGAAAGGAAATATCTTCAAATAAAAACTAGACAGAAACATTCTCAGAAACTTATTTGCGATGTGTGTCTTCAACTAACAGAGTTGAACCTTTGTTTTGATACAACATTTTGGAACCACTCTTTTTGTAGAATCTGCAAGTGGATATTTGGATAGCTTTGAAGGTTTCGTTGGAAACGGGAATATCTTCATATAAAATCAAGACAGAAGCATTCTCAGAAACTTCTCTGTGATGTTTGCATTCAACTCATAGAGGTGAACACTTCCCTTCATAGAGCAGGTTTGAAACACTCTTTTTGTAATATTTGGAAGTGGACATTTGCAGCGCTTTGAGGCCTATGTTGAAAAAGGAAATATCTTCTCCTAAAAACCAGACAGAGGCATTCTCAGAAACTTCCTTGTGATGTGTGTACTCAAGTAACAGAGTTGAACCTTACTTTTGACAGAGCAGTTTTGAGAAACTCTTTTTGTAGAATCTGGAAGTAGATATTTGGATACCTTTGAGGATTTCTTTGGAAACGGGATATCGTCATATAAAATCTAGACAGAAGCATTCTCAGACACTTCTTTCTGCTGTATGTCCTCAATTAACAGAGTTGAACCTTTGTGTGGATACAGCATTTTGGAAACATTCCTGTAGTAGAATCTGCAAGTTGATATTTAGATAGCTAGGGAGATTTCCTTGGAAACGGGAATATCTTCATATAAAATCTAGACGGAAGCATTCTCAGAAAGTGCTTTGTGATGTTTGCATTCAAGTCACAGAGTTGAATATTCCCTTTTATAGAGCAGGTTTGCAACACTCTGTGCACTACCTGGAAGTGGACATTTGGAGCGCTTTGAGGCCTATGTTGAAAAAGGAAATATCTTCCCATAGAAACTAGACAGAAGCATTCTCAGAAACTTGTTTGTGATGTGTGTATTCAACTAACAGAGATGAACCTTTCCTTTCACAGAGCAGTTTTGAAACACTCTTTTTGTGGAATCTGAAAGTGGATATTTGGATAGCTTTGAGGATTTCTTTGGAAACGGGATTACATATAAAATCTAGAGAGAAGCATTCTCAGGAACTTCTTTGTGATGTTTGCATTCAAGTCACAGAACTGAATATTCCCTTTCATAGAGCATGTTTGAAAAACTCTTTCTGTAGTATCTGCAAGCGGACATTTCAAGCGCTTTCAGGCCTATGGTGAGAAAGGAAATATCTTCAAATAAAAACTAGACAGAAGCATTCTCAGAAACTTATTTGTGCTGTATGTCCTCAATTAACAGAGTTGAACCTTTGTGTGGATACAGCACTTTGGAAACATTCCTTTAGTAGAATCTGCAAGTTGATATTTAGATAGCTAGGAAGATTTCCTTGGAAACGGCAACATCTTCATATAAAATCTAGACGGAAACATTCTCAGAAACTGCTTTGTGATGTTTGCATTCAAGTCACAGAGTAGAATATTCCCTTTTATAGAGCAGGTTTCAAACACACTTTCTGCACTACCTGGAAGTGGACATTTGGAGCGCTTTGAGGGCTATGTTGAAAATGGAAATATCTTCCCATAAAAACTAGACAGAAGCATTCTCAGAAACTTGTTTGTGATGTGTGTATTCAACTAACAGAGATGAACCTTTCTTTTTACACAGCAGTTTTAAAACACTCTTTTTGTGGAATCTGAAAGTGGATATTTGGATAGCTTTGAGGATTTCGTTGGAAACGGGATTACATATAAAATCTAGAGAGAAGCATTCTCAGGAACTTCTTTGTGATGTTTGCATTCACGTCACAGAACTGAACATTCCCTTTCATAGAGCAGGTTTGAAACACTCTTTCTGTAGTATCTGAAAACGGACATTCCAAGCGCTTTCAGGCCTATGGTGAGAAAGGAAATATCTTCAAATAAAAACTAGACAGAAGCATTCTCAGAAACTTATTTGCGATGTGTGTCCTCAACTAACAGAGTTGAACCTTTGTTTTGATACAACATTTTGGAAACACTCTTTTTGTAGAATCTGCAAGTGGATATTTGGATAGCTTTGAAGGTTTCGTTGGAAACGGGAATATATTCATATAAAATCAACACAGAAGCATTCTCAGAAACTTCTCTGTGATGTTTGCATTCAACTCATAGAGTTGAACACTTCCTTTCATAGAGCTGGTTTGAAATACTCATTTTGTAATATTTGGAAGTGGCCATTTGCAGCGCTTTGAGGCCTATGGTGAAAAAGGAGATATCTTCTATTAAAAACCAGACAGAAGCATTCTCAGAATCTTCCTTGTGATGTGTGTACTCAAGTAACAGAGTTGAACCTTCCTTTTGACAGAGCAGTTTTGAAGCACTCTTTTTGTAGAATCTGCAAGTAGATATTTGGATACCTTTGACGATTTCGTTGGAAACGGGATATCTTCATATAAAATCTAGACAGAAGCATTCTCAGAAACTTCTTTGTGCTGTATGTCCTCAATTAACAGAGTTGAACCTTTGTGTGGATACAGCATTTTGGAAACTTTCCTTTAGTAGAATCTGCAATTGATATTTAGATAGCTTGGAAGATTTCCTTGGAAACGGGAATATCTTCATATCAAATCTAGACGGAAGCATTCTCAGAAAGTGCTTTGTGATGTTTGCATTCAAGTCACAGAGTTGACTATTCCCCTTTATAGAGCAGGTTTGAAACACTCTTTCTGCACTACCTGGAAGTGGACATTTGGAGCGCTTTGAGGCCTATGTTGAAAAAGGAAATATCTTCCCATAAAAACTAGACAGAAGCATTCTCAGAAACTTGTTTGTGATGTGTGTATTCAACTAACAGAGATGAACCTTTCTTTTTACAGAGCAGTTTTGAAACACTCTTTTTGTGGAATCTGAAAGTGGATATTTGGATAGCTTTGAGGATTTCGTTGGAAACGGGATTACATATAAAATCTAGAGAGAAGCATTCTCAGGAACTTCTTTGTGATGTTTGCATTCACGTCACAGAACTGAACATTCCCTTTCATAGAGCATGTTTGAAACACTCTTTCTGTAGTATCTGCAAACGGACATTTCAAGCGCTTTCAGGCCTATGGTGAGAAAGGAAATATCTTCAAATAAAAACTAGACAGAAGCATTCTTAGAAACTTATTTGCGATGTGTGTCCTCAACTAACAGAGTTGAACCTTTCTTTTGATACAACATTTTGGAAACACTCTTTTTGTAGAATCTGCAAGTGGATATTTGGATAGCTTTGAAGGTTTCGTTGGAAACGGGAATATCTTCATATAAAATCAAGACAGAAGCATTCTCAGAAACTTCTCTGTGATGTTTGCATTTAACTCATAGAGTTGAACACTTCCCTTCATACAGCAGGTTTGAAACACTCTTTTTGTAATATTTGGAAGTGGACATTTGCAGCGCTTTGAGGCCTATGTTGAAAAAGGAAATATCTTCTCCTAAAAACCAGACAGAAGCATTCTCAGAAACTTCCTTGTGATGTGTGTACTCAAGTAACAGACTTGAACCTTACTTTTGACATTGCCGTTTTGAAACAGTCTTTTTGTAGAATCTGGAAGTAGATATTTGGATACATTTTAGGATTTCTTTGGAAACGGGATATCTTCATATCAAATCTAGACAGAAGCATTCTCAGAAAGTTCTTTGTGCTGTATGTCCTCCATTAACAGAGTTGAACCTTTGTGTGGATACAGCATTTTGGAAACATTCCTTTACTAGAATCTGCAAGTTGATATTTAGATAGCTAGGAAGATTTCCTTGGAAACGGGAATATCTTCATATAAAATCTAGACGGAAGCATTCTCAGAAAGTGCTTTGTGATGTTTGCATTCAAGTCACAGAGTAGAATGTTCCCTTTTATAGAGCAGGTTTGAAACACTCTTTCTGCACTACCTGGAAGTGGACATTTGGAGCGCTTTGAGGCCTATGTTGAAAAAGGAAATATCTTCCCATAAAAACTAGACAGAAGCATTCTCAGAAACTTGTTTGTGATGTGTGTATTCAACTAACAGAGATGAACCTTTCTTTTTACAGAGCAGTTTTGAAACACTCTTTTTGTGGAATCTGAAAGTGGATATTTGGATAGCTTTGAGGATTTCGTTGGAAACGGGATTACATATAAAATCTAGAGAGAAGCATTCTCAGGAACTTCTTTGTGATGTTTGCATTCAAGTCACAGAACTGAACATTCCCTTTCATAGAGCATGTTTGAAACACTCTTTCTGTAGTATCTGCAAGCTGACGTTTCAAGCGCTTTCAGGCCTATGGTGAGAAAGGAAATATCTTCAAATAAAAACTAGACAGAAGCATTCTCAGAAACTTATTTGCGATGTGTGTTCTCAACTAACAGAGTTGAACCTTTGTTTTGATACGGCATTTTGGAAACACTCTTTTTGTAGGATCTGCAGGTGGATATTCGGATAGCTTTGAAGGTTTCGTTGGAAACGGGAATATCTTCATATAAAATCTAGACAGAAGCATTCTCAGAAACTGCTCTGTGATGTTTGCATTCAACTCATAGAGTTGAACACTTCCTTCATAGAGCAGGTTTGAGACACTCTTTCTGCACTACCTGGAAGTGGACATTTGGAGCGCTTTGAGGCCTATGTTGAAAAAGGAAATATCTTCCCATAAAAACTAGACAGAAGCATTCTCAGAAACTTGTTTGTGATGTGTGTATTCAACTAACAGAGATGAACCTTTCTTTTTACAGAGCAGTTTTGAAACACTCTTTTTGTGGAATCTGAAAGTGGATATTTGGATAGCTTTGAGGATTTCGTTGGAAACGGGATTACATATAAAATCTAGGGAGAAGCATTCTCAGGAACTTCTTTGTGATGTTTGCATTCAAGTCACAGAACTGAACATTCCCTTTCATAGAGCAGGTTTGAAACACTCTTTCTGTAGTATCTGCAACCGGACGTTTCAAGCGCTTTCAGGCCTGTGGTGAAAAAGGAAATATCTTCAAATAAAAACTAGACAGAAGCATTCTCAGAAACTTATTTGCGATGTGTGTTCTCAACTAACAGAGTTGAACCTTTGTTTTGATACAGCATTTTGGAAACACTCTTTTTGTAGGATCTGCAGGTGGATATTTGGATAGCTTTGAAGGTTTCGTTGGAAACGGGAATATCTTCATATAAAATCAAGACAGAAGCATTCTCAGAAACTTCTTTGTGATGTTTGCATTCAACTCATAGAGTTGAACACTTCCCTTCATACAGCAGGTTTGAAACACTCTTTTTGTAATATTTGGAAGTGGCCATTTGCAGCGCTTTGAGGCCTATGTTGAAAAAGGAAATATCTTCTCATAAAAACCAGACAGAAGCATTCTCAGAACTTCCTTGTGATGTGTGTACTCAAGTAACAGAGTTGAACCTTACTTTTGACAGAGCCGTTTTGAAACAGTCTTTTTGTAGAATCTGGAAGTAGATATTTGGATACCTTTGAGGATTTCTTGGAAACGGGATATCTTCATATAAAATCTGGACAGAAGCATTCTCAGACACTTCTTGGTGCTGTATGTCCTCAATTAACAGAGTTGGACCTTTGTGTGGATACAGCATTTTGGAAACACTCTTTTTGTAGAATCTGCAGGTGGATATTCGGATAGCTTTGAAGGTTTATTTGGAAACGGGAATATCTTCATATAAAATCTAGACGGAAGCCTTCTCTGAAACTGCATTGTGATGTTTTCATTCAAGTCCCAGAGTAGAATGTTCCCTGTTATATACCAGGTTTGAGACACTCTTTCTGCACTACCTGGAAGTGGACATTTGGAGCGCTTTGAGGCCTATGTTGAAAAAGGAAATATCTTCCCATAAAAACTAGACAGAAGCATTCTCAGAAACTTGTTTGTGATGTGTGTATTCAACTAACAGAGATGAACCTTTCTTTTTACAGAGCAGTTTTGAAACACTCTTTTTGTGGAATCTGAAAGTGGATATTTGGATAGCTTTGAGGATTTCGTTGGAAACGGGATTACATATAAAATCTAGAGAGAAGCATTCTCAGGAACTTCTTTGTGATGTTTGCATTCAAGTCACAGAACTGAACATTCCCTTTCATAGAGCAGGTTTGAAACACTCTTTCTGTAGTATCTGCAAGTGGACGTTTCAAGCGCTTTCAGGCCTGTGGTGAGAAAGGAAATATCTTCAAATAAAAACTAGACAGAAGCATTCTCAGAAACTTATTTGCGATGTGTGTCCTCAACTAACAGAGTTGAACCTTTGTTTTGATACAGCATTTTGGAAACACTCTTTTTGTAGGATCTGCAGGTGGATATTTGGATAGCTTTTAAGGTTTCGTTGGAAACGGGAATATCTTCATATAAAATCAAGACAGAAGCATTCTCAGAAACTTCTCTGTGATGTTTGCATTCAACTCATAGAGTTGAACACTTCCTTCATAGAGCAGGTTTGAAACACTCTTTGCACTACCTGGAAGTGGACATTTGGAGCGCTTTGAGGCCTATGTTGAAAAAGGAAATATCTTCCCATAAAAACTAGACAGAAGCATTCTCAGAAACTTGTTTGTGATGTGTGTATTCAACTAACAGAGATGAACCTTTCTTTTTACAGAGCAGTTTTGAAACACTCTTTTTGTGGAATCTGAAAGTGGATATTTGGATAGCTTTGAGGATTTCGTTGGAAACGGGATTACATATAAAATCTAGGGAGAAGCATTCTCAGGAACTTCTTTGTGATGTTTGCATTCAAGTCACAGAACTGAACATTCCCTTTCATAGAGCAGGTTTGAAACACTCTTTCTGTAGTATCTGCAACCGGACGTTTCAAGCGCTTTCAGGCCTGTGGTGAAAAAGGAAATATCTTCAAATAAAAACTAGACAGAAGCATTCTCAGAAACTTATTTGCGATGTGTGTTCTCAACTAACAGAGTTGAACCTTTGTTTTGATACAGCATTTTGGAAACACTCTTTTTGTAGGATCTGCAGGTGGATATTTGGATAGCTTTGAAGGTTTCGTTGGAAACGGGAATATCTTCATATAAAATCAAGACAGAAGCATTCTCAGAAACTTCTTTGTGATGTTTGCATTCAACTCATAGAGTTGAACACTTCCCTTCATACAGCAGGTTTGAAACACTCTTTTTGTAATATTTGGAAGTGGCCATTTGCAGCGCTTTGAGGCCTATGTTGAAAAAGGGAATATCTTCTACTAAAAACCAGACAGAAGCATTCTCAGAAACTTCCTTGTGATGTGTGTACTCAAGTAACAGAGTGA